>NC_000010.11:49840064-49991580 GCF_000001405.40 Homo sapiens | reverse complement strand
ATCTCTACTTTGATTCTTATCCATTGAAATGAATGTATAGACATAAGATAGAGCCAGGCAAGATGGCACATGCTTGTAGTCCCAGCTACTCAGGAGGCTGAGATGGGAAAATCACTTGAACCCAGGTCAGGAAGTTGAGGCCAGCAAGAGTAACACAATGACACCCTCCTTTATTAAAAAAAAAAAAAAAAAAAAACAGAAGAGGTAAATTTTGGCTTTGAGTTGTCTAAAATCAACTTTGCATAAAATAAATCAAGATGTCAGTAAGTTTTAAAAGACAGGTCTATTTTATAGGCAAAATATAAGATGTATTCTAGAGTTTTTAAAATTTTTAAAAAGTAAATTCATCGTATCTGTCACTTCCATTTCATTCTGAGGACACAGAACCTTAGTTCTCTTGAGTAGCTGTCTTCCATAGTCATGTGATATCTCTAAGTTTTCATTTCTTCATTAACAATACATAGGGAGAACATACACAGGCCTTATTTCTATTGGAAAGGGCCAAGTGAGACATACATAAACTGTGTTGTAATCCTAAAGAATGACAATAAAGAGCCATTTTTGGGCTCTCATCCAACACTACCCATCTACTAACTGGTGTGTAACATCCATCAGGCTTTCCGAACATCACCAAGCAGAGTATAAGTTTACACAAGTACTTACATGCTTTGTGTATAAAGGTACAATCAATTAATTCACATAATGCATTTGTTTATTCTAAAGCAATCCTTAAATATCTTGAAATGTGAAGATAGTACTTCCAAGTTACAAAGTCACACTCATAATGAGTCTTAATTATCTTACCTCTTTAAAAATTAAGAGCCCGACCAAAGTTTAAATAGAAGAGCTATAAGACATTTCCTCTACAGTAATGAAATCTCTGGCATTTAAATGAAACCAATAAGCCAACTGGATTTAATATGTTTATGATGCAATGTTTTCTATTTTGAAAATTTCAGTTTTTATTCAAGAACCATATTATTACCCAGAATTACTTTTACTTAGATTCATCTCTTTGCAAAATTTTTGAGGCAAACGAACTAATTGTTTTCTCTTTTCTACCGGCTCCCATCCCCTGCCTCTGCCAACAGCATAGAGACTAAAAAACTCCAACTTTCTTTCCTTTTTATTTTTGTGAGACGGAGTCTCGCTCTGTCACCCAGGCTGGAGTGCATTGGCGTGATCTCTGCTCACTGCAACCTCCACCTCCCAGGTCCAAGCAATTCTCCTGCCTCAGCCTTGTGAGTAGCTGGAACTACAGTCATGCGCCACTACGCCCAGCTAATTTTTGTATTTTTTTTTTTAGTAGAGACAGCGTTTCACCATGTTGGCCAGGCTGGTCTCGAACTCCTGACCTCAGGTGATCTGCCTGCCACAGCCTCCCAAAGTGCTGGGATTACAGGCGTGAGCCACCAAGCCCAGCCAAAACTGTAACTTTCTTATCTTTGAACAAGATGCTATTGTCAGGAGGGGAAGGGACAAACGGGGAGCCACGGCAACAAACACTCTTACAGGGAAGGTCTGACATTTTAACCTGCAATCTTTATATTACACATTAAAAGTCTACATTGACGTTTCATGTCTTTTGAAAGTTTTGACCATGAACCAATCCCCACCTCTCTTTTAGAACAAGCAGGTAAATAAAGTCTGTTAAGTCACCAGAATAAATCTGGAGACACATTTTCTGTTAAAGTAAGAATTTTAAAGTAATCAGAGCCTCATAGGTAAACTCCTTTGAGAAACCCCAAACACACACACACAACCATTTTTCTGCAGCCCCGGCTGTGACATTTTACACCTTTCACAATTACTTTAAGCACTCTCCTTTTTTCTTTTTCCTTTTGTGTTCAAATTACAGTTAGAAGAAACTAAGCAGCTTCTATCAAGGTGACTTAAAGCAGCCCATTAAGAATACCATATAGCCTCTCCCGTGGCAACCTCCATTCTGATTTTAAATAAGAAATCCCCAAATATTTGAATAGGAACTGTCCTGAGATTTGGCTACTTTAACAAAGGAAACAATTAGGCACTTACCTGGTTCCTTCACTTAGGTACCATCTGGATAGGTACAAAGAAAAAATAAGATGGGTACTGAAAAGTTGGGATATTTGAGTTTTTACTGAGAAAAGGAAGAGAATAGCTCAAAGAAGCCTAAACAAAGTACCACAGGATAATAAATAGAGCTACAGACACTGTTGTCTCACCTTCTGTTTGAGAGTTCCTCTGGAATATTGTGCTTGACTCTGGATTGGCAGAAAGGTTAAACTCCAAAGCTATATGTATAGAGGGAGAAAAGAAAAAGGATGTAATCATTTATAAAAATTTATCAACTTATTTATTCAACTGCTGCTTATTCGACAAGAGCCATAAATAAATGGTCCCATGCCAGCCTGGGAGAATGAGATGAGAGAGCAAGAACTGGGCGATTGGGAGGGGAGGCGAAAAGAAACTGACTGGACTCGGTGGGGAAAGACTAAGGGGTGGGAATTCAAGGCAGAGCCAGCTTTTGTTCCTGGCCAGCCCCCGGGAAAGCTGGCTACAAGCAGAAAGGAGCTCGAAGTGTGGGATGCCTCAAAGGGAACCATGGGGACAGCAGCAGCCAGAGGCAAACCGAGGGTAGATGGCACCTATCACCTCCTCACCTTCAGGCATCTCCCGGTCACGAACGTGGTGCATGTGGAGGTCCTCACCAACTTCAACAGTCACCTCAGCAGGCTGTACAGCAGCAGCCATGGGCGCTCCTGCCATCCTGTCCCTAGCTCCTGCCTCATAGGTCTCAGATTCAGAGGGACACACCGACCCCTGCTGCTGGTCAAACTCGAGGCTGACGCTAGGGTGCACACGACAGGTCAGTATGTTCCCCATGGGGCGCCTCTACTGTCTGCCACCACCTGTGCCTCTGCTCACAGCTTTGGCCACGCACTCCCGCTGTCCTAGGCCGAGGCTATGCTGCACTTGCAGAGATGGTCTTCCCGCTCCTCGCCTGCCCACCTCACAGCGAGGCCCCGGGCACCAGCCCTGGCCCCGGCCCCGGCTAGGGCTGCGGGCCAAGGCCCGCACCCTGCTGCCTCCCCTGAGTTGACTTGTCTGGGAGGGTGAAGACCAGCCGGCTTATTTAATAGGTTGTGAAACCAACAAGCGCTGAGAGACACAACAACTGCCTGAAGAGAGAACAGACGGAGTTCCTCCTCCTTCTGTAGTCACCTACAGACTGAAGCCCACTGGCCCCAGGTGGGAGCCCAGGCATGTGGCACACAATGCCCCACCCCACACTTCACAATGCCCTCCCCGACAGCTCACAGTGCCCCACCCTGCCTGCCACCCCTCCCCAACAGCTCAGAATGCCCCTGCCTTGGCTGCCCCACCCTGTGGCTTATGATGCTGCTGCTCTCCTGGCCCCTCGTGCAGTGCCATTGGGACTAAGGTTTTCATTCATCACCAGCTTCCTGAGATTTTAGTCCTAAGAAAAGCACAGGGTAGTTCATTCCTTGAAGCCATCTTCCTCTATGAGTTCTATACAAAGCCTCAGTAGAGTGGGTCCCATTAGCAACCAAGTTGAACAACTTTTATTTGCTGACTGAATATAGATACACCTGAATTGTTGACTGCTTTTGTAACTAAACACTCCTCTCCTGTCTTCCAACGAGTGGTCATTTTTGTCCGCAACTTGACCACAGCAATCCCTGGGGCCCTAGCTCTACTCTCAATAAAGAGTTATGGCTGTGTGTTTTGAATGACACCTTAGGACCCATCCTGCCTCCACCTCCTTCTCCATAAAATAGAAACCTAACTTGCCCCTCCAAGCTCTGAAATGCTGAAACTTACCAACTCCCTTTTCTCCCCGCTATTTCTTCCTTCCATGGCAGGGACTTTCAGGTTTTCTTTCTTTTACTAACAAGGCACTAAGCATGATTTTCTCATACACAATCGAGAGCCATAAAGTGGCTTACCACAGTCCTATTTCAATAAAGAGGAATACTCGACATCTGGCAAGTAGTGTGTGCCTGACAGTGTCCCCACTGTGCTATGCTCATTTAACCCTCAGAAACAATCTCATGTTACAGATTTTACAGAAGTTGTTGAGACGGAGAAGGTAAGTAACCTCCCCAAGGTCACATGACTGCTAAGGGTGGGGCCATAGTTTGATCCCAGCTAGTCTGAATTCCCCAATTGCTTAAGCATGATTATCAGAAAGTATAGCAGTCTGTTTTCACACTGATAAAGAAATACCTGAGGTTGGGTAATTTTTAAAGGAAAGAGGTTTAACTGACTCAGTTTCACATGGCTGGGGAGGCCTCAGGAAACTTACAATCATGGCAGAGGGGGAAGTCCTTCAGGAAACTTACAATCATGGCAGAAGGGCAGGTCCGACTTACATGGTGGCCGCACAGAGAGTGGGAACATGTGAAGGAGCAACTGTCAAACAAGTATAAAACCATCAGATCTCAGCTGGGCACGGTGGCTGACACTTGTAACCCTAGTACTTTGGGAGGCCAAGGCAGGTGGATCAACTGAGGTCAGGAGTTTGAGACCAGCCTAGCTAATGTAGTGAAATCCTGTCTCTACTAAAAATACAAAAATTAGCTGGGTGTGGTGGTGCATGCCTGTAATCCCAGCTACTCAGGAGGCTGAGGCAGGAGAATCACTGGAACTCAAGAGGCAGAGACTGCAGTGAGCCAAGATCGTGCCATGGCACTCCTGCCTGGACAACAGAGCAAGACTCCATCCCAAAAAACAAAACAAAACAAAACCCTATAAGATCTCATGAGGACTTACTGAATATCACAAGAACAGCATGAGGATAACTGCCCCCGTGATCCAATCACCTCCCCCTAGGCCCCTCACTCGACACATCAGGATTATGGGGATTATAATTCATGATGAGATTTGGGTGGGGGCATGGCAAAACCATATCAGAAAGTAAAGGTAGAAGTCAAGCTTGGATGGGAAATGACATTGTAGATGATGATGATGATGATGATGATGATGATGATGATTATTTTGAGATGAAGTTTTGCTCTTGTTGCCCAGTGAAATTGTTTCTCTAATTTCATTTTCAGATTGTGTCTTGTAGATGTATAGAAATACAATTGATAAATGATTCTGGCTATTAACCTTTTATGCTTCAACCTTGCTGAACACTATTTTTTTTTTTTTTTTGAGACGGAGTTTCTCTCTTGTTGCCCAGGCAGGAGTGCAATGGCATGATCTTGGCTCACTGCAACCTCCGCCTCCCGGGCTCAAGCGATTCTCCTGCCTCAGCCTCCCAAGTAGTTGGGATTGCAGGCATGCGCCACCATGCCCAGCTAATTTTGTATTTTTAGTAGAGACGGGGTTTCTGCACGTTGGTCAGGCCCGCCTCAGCCTCCCAAAGTGCTAGGACTACAGGCATGAGCCACCGTGCCCAGCCAGATTCGTATATTTTTAAAAGAATTTTTTTTTTTATTTTTTTTGAGACAGAGTCTCACTCTGTTGCCCAGGCAGTGGCACAATCGTTGCTCACTGCAACCTCCACCTCCTGGGTCCAGGTGATTCTCATTCAAGTGCCTAAGCCTCCCAAGTAGCTGGGATTACAGGAGCCCAACCCCATGCTCAGCTAATGTTTGTATTTTAGTAGAGATGGAGTTTCACCATGTTGTTCAGGTTGATCTCGAACTCCTGACCTCAGGTGATCCACCTGCCTTGGCCTCCCAAAGTGCTGGGATTGCAGGCATGAGCCACCACTCCCGAACAGAACAACATTTTTTTGATGTGGATTTTAAAATGCCTCCCCTTCTTTCAACATTGATTAAGTCCCTTCTACATGCCAGGCACTGTATGTGTGAAATAGTCCCAACTCTCAATGAGTGTAGGCAGATACACAAACAAAGCCTTAAGGAGGTCAGTTTTCTGAGACCATACTGCTGGACAGTATATGAACCTGGGATACAAACCCACCTCTATTTGACCTCAAATTTGATGCTGGGGTGGTTTTAATTTTATTCTGGGAATTTCAGTCATTGAACCATGAAAAGGTGAAAAGTCTCTGTCAGATGTGTGTGTAGTGGTCTGTACAATAAGGACTGAAGGAAGCAACCAAACAAATTAAGAGACTTTCTCTAAAGGCAGAGTAATGCTAAGGGCAGTGGCAGTGACAAAAGCGGAGGAAAAAGTCTATGATCATTTGGGAGACAGAATAGGAAGTGCTTGGTCATGAGATGTGAAAGAAGAGGGGAAGTAGAAGGAAAACAGAGCTGCTCAGGCTCTGCTGGGGAAGACTGGGTATGTAGCAGTGCCTTCCTCCTGGCCGAGAATGTAGGAAGAGAAATAGGTAAGGAGGAAAAGATAGTTTTTTACTCTCAGTGTCACATTAAAATGGAACTCTCTGGTCAAAAGTTGAATATAAACCTCTGTAGGCTAAGTCCATTTGTGACATCCCAACATATGTTTTCAAAAATAACATACATACTAAATCAAGCCATTAAGCGTAACTGGGGAAATTTCCTAAAATTTACATGCTAAAAAAATCACCATTTTTCATTTATTACTTTCATGGAGCAACTTTGAATCTATGGTTACAGCAAGTGAGGCACCTTGTATAAAATAAAGCTAATACATGAAAAAAAAGCCATTTAAAATTCTATTGTTCTCAGAGAATGGAGAAAGCAATTGAAGCCATGGGTGTGGAGGTGACTGCCCTGAGAAGTTGTGTATAGTAAGGAGAACTGGGAAGAAAGAAGACCTGGAGAATAGGGTGATTTGCACGGCATTAAGTGAAGCTTGCAAAAGTGAGCAATGAGACTCAAGAGACCTGCATATGAATCAGGAATGGCTGCTCCTGTGAGTTGTTAGAAAGGAGATGATGCCTTCTTTTCATATCTATAACAGCAGCACCTAGCACAGTGCCTGTTCAATAGGTACTCAACATGTATTATCCCAATGCAGAGTCAAATTTTGCCAGGAGGGCAGGAAAGCTACAAATTAGCTATGGCAACTTAGTGACTGGGCTTGTGTGTGTGTGTGTGAGCGAGCTGGATGTCAGGCAGTGGGTAAAGTAGTGAACTGGAGGTGAGAAAACAATGACACAAACTCAGGGCTTCTCTTCCCAAGTATTTGGCTGAGAAGAGAGATGTAGTATTAAAGGGAGATATGTGGTAAAGGAAGACTTTTATTCCAAGATTCAACAAAAGCGTGAGTATACTTCTATGTTAAAGGGAAAGAGCCAACAGAGAAAACACATTTTTGAGGTTAGAAGAGAAGGAAGAACTAATGCAGAAGGGCCCCAAAAGGCACAGGTGCCTGCAATCCGGATCAGGGACAGATTAGCTTTGGACTCCTACAAAAGCAAGAAGGGAGAAAGGACCATGTGACTCTAGAGATATTTCTGGTAAAGGAAAGGTTTAGGAAAAGATCTTTTGATGACCTTTATTTTAACAGACTTTTTTTTTCTTTTTGAGATGGAGTCTTGCTCTGTCACCCAGGCTGGAGTGCAGTGGCACGATCTCGGCTCACTGCAACCTCTGCCTCCTGGGTTCATGCCATTCTCCTGCCTCAGCCTCCTGATTAGCTGGGACTACAGGCACCCGTTACCATGTCCAGCTAATTTTTTGTATTTTTAGTAGAGACGGGGTTTCAACGTGTTAGGCAGGATGGTCTCCGTCTCTTGACTTCGTGATATGCCCGCCTCGGCCTCCCACAGTCTGGGATTACAGGCGTGAGCCACTGCACCCGGCTAGACTTTAAAAAAAAAAACAAAAAAACAAAACAAAAAAACAAAACTACTGTGGGAAAAAGGATATTATGTATAGAAAAGTCTACACTTCTTGATACAACTAACTAAAAAAAGCCTGATACACTAAACAAAACCCAAATAATGTCTTCCCTAAAAGTGGGTAACTTGAAAAGCAATTCGAGCAAAAATCAAGGAGTTCAATTATAAATAAGTATATCAACAAAGTGAAAGATGGGTTTAATTTTTCCCACAAAAAGTTAAAAGAAATAACAGCAGGTTTAGAGGAAGAGGAAAAAATAATAAGAAAATTATATGCAGTTGCAAAATGTGTGACTATTTACAAACTCTAACATATAACTACAAAACGGACCAGAAGAATCATTATCATAGGAAGCAAAGGGTCATTTCAAAAATCAGAGGAGGGATGATTCATATTTAATTTAATTCTGTGGAAAAAATTTAAGTAATGTTTGAGGACAAAAATAGGTGATGTGTTGAAATGCGGGAAACCACAGTGGAAGGAAAAATAATTCAAGAAAGCTCAGTTTCAGTAACCAGTATCTAGTAAAATCTTCAGGACCTAGAGGGTACAATCTGCATTAATAGTGTCTGAAGACCTAGAAATGTCATTAAATACCATTTTGGATAATTCTTGTAGACTTGAGATGATGTCTATTTAAAGTTACAAAATAGTGCCCATATTTCTGTATTCATTACAGAAAACAATTGGATATGGAAAAGAAACTATCATGCTATGCCACAATCTCTAAAGAAAGATTAGGGAAGTTTCAGCTTAAAGCAAGAATAATCACAATAAAGTTTTACAACCCTTTGCAAGCATATATGAAAAACTTACAAAAAGTTTGTAATGATCTTTTCTTAAGCTAAGAGAACAGAAAAAATGAGAAAAATTAAATTATAAAATGAAACTTTGGTTTAGAGGTAAGAAACATTTGATGACAGTCAAGAGATCAGGGTTGTACAGTGTATTATGTGAATGTTGTGACTCATTGGTTTCATCTTGGATATCATAACTTGACATTTTGTAAAAGTGATTTTTCATGGGAGTTTCTTCAGGTGCCCTATGAAGTCCTGTCCCTTTAGAAGCGAATAATAGTCTTCCACATTCTTGAGATATCTTAATGAATAACATCTTCTACAGTCTTCCATTGTTTAGACCTTGGAGAGACACTCATTAGTGACTGTTAAGGTACCTGAGTTATTAGGTGCCTGTAGACTATGCCCAGTGATATGTGCATTAGGTACATGCTCCCTAGCTGTGCTGACACTGACTGAAGCTGTGAGGTTTCACAATGACATGTCAGCCAAATACATATGCTCAGATTCACCATTTATCAAGAGGTCTTCACACTATCAATTGTGCAATTATCATTCTACACACAGGCAGTGATAAACGGAGTAAAAAACCACAGCCATGGATCGGGAGACCAAGGTACCTCCAGAGGAGTCCAGTGGGTCCAGAAGCCCTTTGGATGTTGGTCAGAGGCTCCTCTTGGGCAGAGATCACAGCAGCAGCCAACAGGTCTGGAGAAGTCCTTAGAGTTCTCATGGACAAAGTTTGTGAAGGCATCTTAGACAAGATCTTGTCTTTGCTGGTTTTATGATCCTCTGCAGATGGGTCTATTCTCATTACCTCAGCCACCTTTCACTTCCTATCAGTTCAGTTCAGGTCTCTCATGATCCCAGGCAGCAGTAGTTGTTATCACGTGAGTTCATTCATATATGTTTATCTCTGGGGATGGGGGGACAACTTCACTGTGGACTTAATTCTACTGGAGATGAGTGACCCCATTTTAAGACAACAGGATCACAAATTATTATCACATATCAGCAGGGCAGACAATAGCTACGACCTGGGGCTGAAAGCAGGTAACTCCATTTATTCTGCAAAAATTCTGTCTTGATTATGGTGCCAGTTGCTGTGAGGGATTTCCTTTCTAGAACCTGTTTTTCACAAGGTTTGAGTCTGAACTGTTAACATTCTACTGATTTCTGGGTGAAGTGACTGACTGCACCATCCTAGCCTGTCAGAGCACTTGCCCCAATACTTCCACTTTAAGAGTTTTCCACCTTGTCCAGAACTACAGTCCACTAATCCCCTCATTTTCTCTCTTAAGAGAATAAACAGGCCAGGTGCGGTGGCTCACGCCTGTAATCCCAGCACTTTGGGAGGCTGAGGCGGGTGGATCATCTGAGGTCAGGAGTTCGAGACCAACTTCGCCTACATAGTAAAACCTCATCTCTACTAAAAAAAAAAATCACAAAAATTAGCCGGGCGTGGTGGCAGGCACCTGTAATCCCAGCTACTCGGGAGGCTGAGGCAGGAGAATCCCTTGAACCTGGGAGGCAGAGGTTGCAGTGAGCCAAGACTGTGCCACAGAACTCCAGCCTGGGCGACAGAGTGAGACTCCCTCTCAAAAAAAAAAAAAGAGAGAGAGAGACAGAGAATAAACAACCCATGTCAAAAACACACCCACATCCCTCTTATCCCAAATACCAAACACACAAAAATCCAATCTGTCTCCTTCTACCTAAGCAATTGCAGATAGTCACTTTCCCATAATTACCTTAAGCTCCCTGACTTGCTGCTCGTCCTTTCTCTGGCAAAATCTCATCCTTGGATGAGCCCGACTTTGTGTTTGCTCAATGACACTACTCACCTGAACCAGAAAAAATATCAAAAAGTGGTCAGAGATATCATCATAAATTCAAATTACTTACATAAAAAATTGGCCCTAAATGTTTCCAGAAATCAATAAAAGTTTTGTTTCTCCAAACACATCATTTCTTCAGAAACCCAACGTGTATAACCTGTTTTTTCTATGTTCTTCTAACATTCATTCAATTTCTCTCATCTGATATCTTGCCAAATCATTCAAAGAGAAAATATATCCCATTAGTCAAGAGCCAACCATATTCCCATCACCTGAGAAAATCATATGCACAGGATGCGCCCACCTCACCTTTCTCTGCCTCATCATGTCAGAAAAAGTACCCCTCCTTTTGTCACAAGGCAAACCTGAGATAAAAGATTTAGATGGCCTGTAATTCCAGCACTAAGGGAGGCCAATGCATGCAGATTATTTGAGTCTAAAAAAGAAGCCTAAGCAACTTAGGGAAACTGCATCTCTCAAACAAATACAAACCATTAGCCTAGCATGGTGGTGTGGTGGCACATGCCTATAGTCCCAGCTACTCAGGGTGGGGAGCACTGAGGTGGGAGGATCACCTAAGCTGGAAGGTTGTGGCTGCAGTGAGCCGTGATCACGTCACTGCACTCCAGCCAGGGTAACAGATATTTTTAAAAGGATCTTCTCTGTTAAAAATAATCAAATAAACAGGTGGCCATGAGGCTGAGGTGGCTGCAGTGCACTCAATTCCTCCTTAAATAACCCAAAACTTGACTCAGTGTAAATAATAAAAGGAAACTTAAGTTTAACCAGTCAGAAACCACCAACTAACATCTAACTAGAGACTTTCCACTGTAATGTTCCAAATGAGGCCACTGCTCCACTTTACCCAATCAAGTATTTTCTTTTTCTTCCACATTCACCATATAAAATTCTTCCCCCACCCTCCCTCTCTGTTGGAACTCTGAGCTGCTTGCAGTCTGGAGCTGCCTAGTTTATACATTTCTGAATGCTCAAATATATTTTCTAATGTTTCAAAGTGGCTCTGGTGTAGGAGGTTATTGGTGGAGTGACCTGAGAGTGTACAGGAATTGAGGCCATATGAGATCTCTGGACCCTGTACTCCATTTTGCTGTACACTCAATACTACTCTAAAATAATAATATATCTTTAAAAATCTATAACTATCACGTAGCCCTTTTCAAGTCTCCAACTGGTTGGAGCCAGTTCGATTAAAGCTCAGAAAAAACTGGTTAATAAGCTAGTTCTGACCCAACTGGCAAGAAGCGGCAGGAAAGACCCAGGCCACGGGAGTATATTGCACATGCATGCACCAGGAAACTGGAGGAAGCTTGGAGGCCCTTTAGCCTGGTCCTGAGCCCGCTGAAACTGCAGTTACAGGCACAGATGTCTGGGGCACCAATCTGAATCTGCCAACATCCAAGGCCACATGAACACAAATGCGCAGTCTCCTCTGCGATCGGTAGCTAAGGATGTTAGGCCATGATTGGACTAGGATGGGAGATGAACTGAGAACTCTGGATTCTGTAGGTTGTTGTTGTCTCTTCCCACACCCAAGCAACAAGTGATGAACACACACACACACACACACACACACACACACACACACATCCCGTAGTGACTAACAGGATCTCCCTCCAGGGGATTTGCAGGAAGGGGAGCAGAAAACATCCCAGGGGCCTTTCACAGCTACTTCCTTGAGCCCCCTTTCAGACAGTGCTGTCTAGACCTGTCTCAGCCCAAGCATCACCACCCTGATATGCAGAAGCTGGCATCCTTACCTGAAATTCAACATCAAGAAATGATCTCTTCTACTCAACACTGATAGAAATACCTCTAAGCAACGTCCTCATTGGCAGGGGTGGAGTGGGGGAGTTTCTTAAAAAGTGAGGCCTCTGCCTACCACCTAGAGAACCTGGAAATTTCCATCTGTGCCACCAAGTCCAAATCACTGGCCACTGCCCCAGTGTATGGCAGATTAGAATATCTCTCCATTGGATCTGGGTTTCTATTCCATTGAGTGAAATGCCTTTTCTACTACAGGAACAGAATAAGGGATCAAAAGGGTCTTACAACTGAACTCCAGTGTACAGTCTGCACAGACACTAGGCTTGTGCAAATATGACACAGCGAGGCCCCAGGACCCTTAAGCCAGCTGAATGTACTGAGTTTCAGGAAACAGTGAGATACATTCAGCAAAACAGTGGGCTTCATGCTGAAAGAAGTCAATCCAAGTAAACACACATCACACACACACACACACACACACACACACACACACGCACGCAGACACCCTAGTGGCCAATAGGTCCTCTCACCAAAAACCTGTGATCAGGAGAGCAGAAAGCCTCCCAGGGCTCCACCACTGCCCTTTCTGTAGCCCCTTATCAGACGGCCAGCCTCAGGACAGCACTGTCTGATCCTGGTCCAGCCCAAACCGCCATCACCCTGTGATGTGGGAGCAGGCCACTTCACCAGAACCTCTGTGGCAGAAAAATTTCTCTTTCTTTTAAAATGATGAGGGGGAACCTTCAGACAGTGTCCTGATTAGGGTGGGTGGAGAGGGGGGTTTCCCAGAAAGTCAGGCAGGGCAGGGCAGAAGCCCTCTGGGTTAACTGTGTGCTTTTGATATGAAGGCAGGTAAGACTGGACAGGTGGGGGTGTTAGTGAGGGGATGGACTAGGGTGTGCTGAAGAACTCCACTTGGGCTCTGCACACCAGGGAAAATGACCACAAAACATCCCATCTTCACTGCTCAGAGAAGGCTAGATCTGCTGTGAGCTAGGAAGCCATGTGGGGGCAGCTGATGAGTCATCAAATGGGAGAAATCTGAGAGCCATGTGTTCCACAGGCCTCTGGTCCTTGTTCAGGCAGCAGGGCACTGTGAGATGTGGCTCCTTGGCCCTTTCCAGCCACCACCTTGATTGCCTGCTACAAGGAAAGAGACTGAAGCCCAAGAATGGGGTCTTGCTCACCATAGGATGATGGCTCAGTGTGCAGAGCTGAGCTATGGCCCAAGAGGCAGAAGGTGGGGATGACCCAGGCTGAGCTGGGGGATCCAACTGAACATGCACTTGCTAAGAAGCTGTGGGCTATGATGCCTTGGGACCCCAGTCTGGGTCTAGAATTGTAGCAAAACAGGCTACTGGTAAAAGTTCTTGGGAAGCCAACTCACTTTTGCTTTCATCCGTGGGCAAACAAACCTCTGATCAACCACACCACAATGGTGTCACTCTGTAAGGCACAGGTAGACAAGGCATCCAGCCTTGCACACTCCAGGGCCCACACATGTCCAGAATACAATGGTTCTTGTTGAGACTCCACTCTTCCAACTCAGACAGAAGCTCCCCAATGTCCTCAGCCACTCCCAACAACTGGAGGTCTGAAAACTTTCATGCATGCCGCTATGGTCTAAACCACTCGTGGTGGTTTTGATTTTCATTTTCCTGATAATCAGTGATGCTAAGCACCTTTCCATATGCCTTTTCACCAACTGGATATCTTCTTTGGCTAAATGTCTATTGAAATCCATTGCCCATTTACAAATCTGCTTTTTTGTGGGCTTCTTGATGTTTTTTTTTTTTCCTATTTATTTATACAAGTTCCTTAGATATTTTGGATATTTTTAAAAATGATTTTCAATTCCATTGCCCAGTTATAAATCTTTTTTTTTTTTTTTTTTTTTGAGACAGAGTTTTGCTGTTGTTGTCCAGGCTAGAGTGCAATGGTGCAATCTTGGTTCACAGCAACCTCCACCTCCCAAAGTCAAGCAATTCTCCTGCCTCAGCCTCCTGAGTAGCTGGGATTACAGGCATGTGCCACCATGCCCGGCTAATTTTTGCATTTTTAGTAGAGGCAGGGTTTCTCCATGTTGGTCAGGCTGGTCTTGAACTCCCGGTCTCAGGTGATCTGTCCACCTTGGCCTCCCAAAGTGCTGGGATTACAGGCATGAGCCACTTGCCCAGCCAATTATCCCTTTTTGTGGTTTTTTTTTTGGGGGGGTAGGGGGGAAGAACAGAGTCTCGCTCTGTCACCCAGTCTAGAGTGCACTGGTGTGATCTCGGCTCACTGCAGCCTCCGCCTCCCAGATTCCAGCAATTCTCCTGACTCAGTTTCCCGGGTAGCTAAGATTACGGGCGCGCAACACATGCCCAGCTAATTTTTGTATTTTTAGTAGAGACGGGGTTTCACCATGTTGGCCAGGCTGGTCTCAAACTCCTGACCTCAGGTGATCCACCCACCTCCCAAAGTGTTGGGATTACAGGCGGGAGCCACCACTCCCGGCCCCATTTTGTGTTTTAACATCAGTCGACACTCGTATTTTAAAATAATAACAATGAATGGCGGTACCTTAGAACAAGGGAATTATACATCTTTCTCTTGTCCTAGTGCAGACATTTTGTCTATAAAATGTTATTCACAGATGAATTCATGAAAACATTACTGTGAATTTTAAATCCATATACAAGTGTATGCTTGTTCATGAATACTTCAATAAAATAAAACTAATAGCAAAAAAGAATTCCAGAGTTGAAGCAGTTTCAGGAAAAAGGAGTTGGTTGGCAGTATGAAGTAAAATAGCAAAAAATGGGTTTTTTTTAAATGGGTATATTTGTGTCTACAACTTTTTTTTAATTATAGCATTAGACAATGTGTATATATATATGCATATATAAAGCAATGAAAGTGGCATTGTTTTCATACTAGTCTAGGATATTAAAATATATGTAATATGTGATTGGCAAAATAATGGCCCCCCAAAGATGTCCACAGATTCCTAGAACCTTACATGAAAACGGTACATCATGCATGTGATTCAGGTAAAGACCTTGACATGAGGAGACTACCCTGGTGCTATGGAGTGAACGTTGTGTTCCATCAATGTTCATGTGTTAAAATCCTAACCCTCAAGGTGATGGTATTAGGAGGTTAAGCCTTACGGGAGACTCTGCCCTCATGACTGGGATTAGCACCTTATTAAAGGCACAAGGGAGCTTGTTTGTTCCTCTCACCATGCGAAGACACAGCAAGAAGGAAGCCTCTATGAGAAAGCAGGCCTTCACCAGACACCAAGACTGCCGGCACCTTGATCTTGCACTTCTCAGCCTCCAGGACTGTGAGAAACAAAGTTCTGTTATTTATAAGCTACCTGGTCTAATGCATTTCCTTGTAGCAGCCTGTATGGATTAGGACAGTGGGCTCATGTGGATGATGACGGTGTCTCCATTCAGGACTAAGTAAGCACATGAGTCCTTAACAGTGGAAGAGAAGGGGGAAGGAAAGAGCCACAGAGACATGTGGCCACAGAAGAAGAGTCCATGGGATGCAAGGTTGCTAATGGTGAGAGTGGAGAAGAGCCCAAAGCCAAAAAATGCAGGCAGACTCCAGAATGTGGAAAAGGCGAGAAAAAAGATCCCCTAGAGCCTCTAGAGATGAAGGTAGCCTTTCCACCACCTAGATTTTAGCCCAGTGAGATCCACATCATACTCTGACATACAGGAGTGTAATAAATTTGTTTTATGCCCTGACATAGTGGTAGTTTGTTGTAGCAGCAATGGACTAGTAATATATAAATATATATACACACACACACACACAAACACTACCCCCCCCCACACACACACACACATAACTATATATATCCTACCCTTCAAAATTGAAGCAGATAAACTACACATTAGCATTAACTTAGCTGGGTGTAGTGGATCATGCCTGTAGTCCCAGCTACTCAGGAGGCTGAGAGGGAGGATCATGTGAGCCCAGGAGTTTAAGATCAGCCTGGGCAAACACACTGAGGCCACATTTCAAAAACAAACAAACAAACAAAACACAACAAATCTTTGATTAAGCTCATTTCCCAAATTTGAAGAGGAGACAATTATTAGATAAAGAGGAGAAAAGAGAAAGGTAGAGCTGCTGACTTCTGTGGTGGAAGCAGAGGCACAGGCCCAAACATACTCCTTTCCTCCTGGCTTTCCTGTCCCTTCTCATAAGGGACACATGAACCTCTCAAACTGAACCATGGATCACAGACCCATACTCAGAACTCAATACAGTTTTGTTCTATGATTTTTTACATGTCTGTGTCCTTGCTTCTGCCTCCCATTCCCAACTCCCTTGCTCTAGTTAGAAAAAATGGCTATTACCAAATATGAGTACATCCTCATATACTAATGCCAACTGATCATCACCTGGTTTTCTTCTTTTACAAAGTCATAAATCTTTAGACTTTAACACATCTTCCAAGCAATAGAATGTTATTTTCCAGTCCATTAACACAAATTCTATATTTAAAATGAAGACTTCACAAGTTGATTTAAATAACATATTAACCAACATAGACTGGCCATGGTTCAAACTGACATTTTAATTAAATGTGATGATAGGTTGAGTAACCTAGCAGTACTCTAAAATGACTTTTGGTTATGGCTTTTTCCATATTATGTTTAGGCTGAGGCATCCCTAAATGATTCAACTGTAATTCCTCTTCTTAAACATGAGATTTATCTTTACAAAATAATTTATTTTCTTAAAATTACAAGTTAATTCTATAGTTCATGCATACATAATCTCAGCAGATATCAGCTGTATGTGTACACACATACATATAGGTATTTGTATATACACACATTACATAATTTTTTAAAAAACTTATTAGTAGGGTAGAACCACGAAGACAAAGAGGCTTTGTGTAATGTGATGGAAACACATTTGCAGGACGAACAACAGGCTGCTGTGAGGGCTGCATTTACCCTTTCTACTGTAAGACTTGGAAAAACATGGATAGTGGATATTTAATCCGCATAACAGAAATTTCAGGGTGCAGAAAACTTCCCACAATTTTTACAGATAATGTCAACAGACAGGCATTCAATGCAGGGAATACACAGTGTGACAGTATACAAAAATAAGCAGGTTGATGGTTTAGATTTATGAGACAAGAGAAAGAAATAGATGATGCCATAATTCTCCTTTTATGGAGTTATGAAAATTGTTCATTTTATATAAGGTCAGGTGCTTTCAAATGTCAATGAGAAAAATATTTAAAGGAAGAATCAAATCTAAGACGTGGAGAGATCTTTATAAAAATGACCTTCAGGCCAGGCACGGTGGCTCACACCTGTAATCCCAACACTTTGGGAGGCCAAGGTGGGTGGATCACAAGGTCGGGGGATCGAGACCATCCTGGCCAACATGGTAAAACCCCGTCTCTACTAAAACACAAAAAATTAGCCGGGAGTGGTGGTGTGTGCCTGTAGTCCCAGCTACTTGGGAGGCTGAGGCAGGAGAACTGCTTGAAGCCGGGAGGCAGAGGTTGCAGTGAGCTGAGAGCACCACTGCACTCCAGCCTGGCAACAGAGCAAGACTCCATCTCAAAAAAAAAGAAAAAAAAAAAATTACCTTCATTCTGAGAAGGTATAATCATCAACACATTCTTGAGCACAACTATGCACATACACACTTCCAAATTCACAAACCATGCTTGTGCACACACTGATGTCTCTAGATTCCTTTTTTGAAGAGATGGCAACTTGGTGTGTCACCCAGGCTGGAGAGCAGTGTTAGGATCATAGCTCACTGCAGCCTCAAACTACTGGGGTCACGTGATCCTCCTACATCAGGCTCCTCAGTAGCCTGAACTATAGGAATGAGCCACCATGCCCAGCCAATGTTTTCATTTTTTTGTAGAGATGAAATCTTGCTATATTGCCCAGGCTGGTCTTGAACTCCTAGCCCCAAGGAATCCTCCTGCCTTGCCCTCCAAACGTGCTGAGATTACAGGTGTGAACCATTGTGCCCAGCAACTGGATTCTTTATTAAGAAGAAAATTTGTTTGCTGACATGTAGGCAATGAATTGATAAATAATAGTTCAGAAATTACTAATTTACAAGTCAATATAAATGAGGTGAGTAAACACAAAAATAACAGCATAAATAAACAGTTCATGACTTCACGTTTCTTTTTCTCCTTTAAAATGTAGCTCTGACAGAGACTACTACTTGTCCATTCCATGGAAAAGTCAGAGGTGGTTAAAATGTCAGAGGTACACTTACTAATACTTTGCTGCCTTTTGTGTAGCTTCTTCTCAGTACTTCACCAGTTGGGATTGACACACACCTCTACAGCTGGGTTCAGGAGCCAGACAGCAGCACACAGAACGGGGAATCCAAAGCCATCTCTGACACTAAAAGCAATGAAAACAAAAATAACCAAACATATTATCAAGAAATGAACAAGAGATTGATATCAAGTAAAGCAAGAAGAGAAGAAAGCATTTAATCTGCCAGGCTTTCATTCTGACAAAATAATTTACAACATGCATGTCTCTATCTGACATGAGTGAATAGAAAAAGAACCCAAATACCCAGTTGAATTGCAAGATGAAAATGAAAAAGAACTCTTGCTTATTCGCCAGGGTACAATCTAATCTGGGCTACTAAAACACTTTCATGCACTGATTCTATGTAACACATGCTTTATTGCCATTTGGAAATGGGATTTCTTGCTTTGATTTAAATATACTTCCTTGGATTTGTGCTTTAAGTATACTTTCTTAAACATATTCACAGCTACATTCTCAGTACAAATTTTCAGGTGTAAGTAACTACTTCTGCTTTTGATAGTATAATTGGTGAAATAAGCTATACTTCCATGTAAATGTGAGAGTACAAGGTAAGATTCCAGAGTCAAGTAAAACATAACAGTCAAGAAAATAAAAAGGTGAGAGTAACTGGGCAGTGGGGAAATCTTGTGTGTGGAAAGAATGAATCTGTAAAACTGTTCTTTCCTAAGAGAGTTCAGCAGGATTTGGATGATAGAGAGCTTTGTGTACAAGGGTTCCAGTTCCACATAGTTTAGGTCTAATTTCAAAGGCAACTTCTAGTGCAACCTGTGACTCACGCTGTCCTAAAGTGCCGAATGTAAAGGGTCTGGAGATAACCCACAAGCAGCACTGTGAACCCCTGACAGCAAGCCTTTCCAGATAAATACCTGTCAGTGTCTACAGCTGATGACAGAGCAGAATATCTGAAAAATAATACTTCTTCGGCCAGTGGACTGCCAGTCACTATTATTTAGTGTAAAATACTATATTACATATGTGTAATTTTTTAAATTGCAGTGTTTCACATCGAAGCAATTAAATATAAAAACCAAATGTTTATTCAGCTTAAAGGCAACTTAGAAATACTGATCCCAGATAGAAAGATGCTTTAGTCCCAAGTCAGCTGTTCTAAAATGCCACAACTAAACCAACGAAGGGATCTTGAAGCATAGTAAGTGTTCATACCTTTTCAGCTATACCTCTGCTTGTCTTGAATATAAAAACCTAAGCTGCAGTTATGCCACAGCACAGAATGTGTTATATTTTACATCACTGAGCCTTAGTTTTACAAATGGTAAAAAATAGGGAAGGTAAACTGAGGTTTTCTTAAGGAGCTGTTACATCCAAGAGACTCATGAAAATCTTTGCCAAATGTCCCCGGTACATAGCTCCTCCCCACTGATGGGCTCAACGGGGAGAAGCTATGCACATGTCTCAATTTGCATATGCTCAATGGCAATACAGGATTCCTAGGATAAAGTAAGGGATATAAATGACACAGCACACTGAAAAGACTGTAATGTTACTTCAGAATGTTGCAAAATAAAGATCACAGATGAAAGTTTTAGTTCACTGAAGCATGTAGTCATGTATATTTCATTTGTGTGTTTTAAAGTCTTATACTGCTTACATTCTCTTTTTTTGTTTGTTTTAAAATAATTATATTTGGCTACAAAGATCAATAACAAGGATGATGTCAGTCCAGGTTGGACAGGCAGTTCTGGGGCAGATGTTCTTGCAGTATTTTTTTTTTTTTTTTTTAGTATTTATTGATCATTCTTGGGTGTTTCTCGGAGAAGGGGATTTGGCAGGGTCATAGGACAATAGTGGAGGGAAGGTCAGCAGATAAACATGTGAACAAGGGTCTCTGGTTTTCCTAGGCAGAGGACCCTGCGGCCTTCCGCAGTTTTTGTGTCCCTGGGTACTTGAGATTAGGGAGCGGTGATGACTCTCAAGGAGCATGCTGCCTTCAAGCATCTGTTTAACAAAGCACATCTTGCACCGCTCTTAATCCATTTAACCCTGAGTGGACACAGCACATGTTTCAGAGAGCACCGGGTTGGGGGTAAGGTCATAGATCAACAGCATCCCAAGGCAGAAGAATTTTTCTTAGTACAGAACGAAATGGAGTCTCCTATGTCTACTTCCCTCCACACAGACACAGCAACAATCCGATTTCTCTATCTTTTCCCCACATTTCCCCCTTTTCTATTCAACAAAACCGCCATCGTCATCATGGCCCATTCTCAATGAGCTGTTGGGTACACCTCCCAGATGGGGTGGCGGCCGGGCAGAGGGGCTCCTCACTTCCCAGAAGGGGTGGCCGGGCAGAGGCGCCCCCCACCTCCCAGACGGGGCGGCAGCCGGGCAGAGGCGCCCCCCACCTCCCTCCCGGATGGGGTGGCTGGCGGGGCAGGGGCTGCCCCCCACCTCCCTCCCGGACGGGGCAGCTGGCCGGGCGGGGGCTGCCCCCCCACCTCCCGGACGGGGCGGCTGCCGGGCGGAGGGGCTCCTCACTTCTCAGAAGGGGCAGCTGCTGGGCGGCGGGGCTCCTCACTTCTCAGACAGGGCAGCTGCCAGGCGGAGGGGCTCCTCACTTCTCAGACAGGGCGGCTGGGCAGAGACGCTCCTCACCTCCCAGACGGGGTCGCGGCCAGGCAGAGGCGCTCCTCACATCCCAGACGGGGCGGCGGGGCAGAGGCGCTCCCCTCATCTCAGACGATGGGTGGCCGGGCCGAGACGCTCCTCACTTCCTAGACGGGATGGCAGCCGGGAAAAGGCGCTCCTCACTTCCCAGACTGGGCAGCCCGGGCAGAGGGGCTCCTCACATCCCAGACGATGGGCGGCCAGGCAGAGACGCTCCTCACTTCCCAGACGGGGTGGCAGCCGGGCAGAGGCTGCAATCTCGGCACTTTGGGAGGCCAAGGCAGGCGGCTGGGAGGTGGAGGTTGTAGCTAGCCGAGATCACGCCACTGCACTCCAGCCTGGGCAACATTGAGCACTGAGTGAACGAGACTCCATCTGCAATCCCGGCACCTCGGGAGGCCGAGGCTGGCAGATCACTCGCGGTTAGGAGCTGGAGACCAGCCCGGCCAACATGGCGAAACCCCGTCTCCACCAAAAAAAATACAAAAACCAGTCAGGCGTGGCGGCGTGCACCTGCAATCGCAGGCACTCAGCAGGCTGAGGCAGGAGAATCAGGCAGGGAGGGTGCAGTGAGCCGAGATGGCAGCAGTACAGTCCAGCTTCGGCTCGGCATCAGAGGGAGACCATGGAAAGAGAGGGAGAGGGAGACCGTGGGGAGAGGGAGAGGGAGACCGTGGGGAGAGGGAGAGTGAGAGGGAGAGCCAGAATTTTCTTTTTAAAGGCAGAATAATATTCTATGTATATACCACATTTTTCTTTTTTTGAGACAGGGTCACCTAGGCTGGAGTGCAGTGGCATGATCACGGCTCACTGCAGCCTTGACCTCCCCAAGCTCAAGTGATCTTCCCACCTCAGCCTCGGGAGTAGCATGTACCACCATGCTTAGCTCATTTTTTGTATTTTTAGTAGCTATGTTGTCCAGGCTAGTCTCCAACTCCTGGGCTCAAGCAATCTGTCCATTTGCCTGCCTTGGCCTCTTAGAATCTATCTTTTTTTTTTTTTTTTTTTTTGACACAGGGTCTCACTCTGTCGCCCAGGCTAGAGTGCAGTGGCACAATGAAGGCACACTGCAGCTTTGACCTCCTGGGCTCAGGTGATTCTCCCATCTCAGCCTTCCCAGTAAGTGGGACTACAGGTGCCCACCACCAAGACTGGCTAATTTTTTGTATAGACAGGGTTTCACCATATTGCCCTTACACTCCTGGACTCAATCTGCCCACATTGGCTTCCCAAAGTGCTGGGATTATAGACATGAGCTACCACACCCAGCCTGTATGGCTGTTGTGAATAATATGCTGTTATGAACACGGGCACACTAAACACCATTCAACTTAAAAAAATAATCAAAGCCTTAAGAACTGACCAAAATGGCTTAGGTGAAAATAAAATACCAAACTCTGCTCTAAGAAAAGGAAAGAACATTCACTGAATTATACCTTCAGCAATAAGCACGTAATGGAACTTGTTTCATTTAAAATGCATCACAATCCTGTAAATTGATAATCATCATACCGCAATTTTATAGATGAGCAAGGTATTAGGCGGACCTTTTTCAAAAGGTCATACAGCTAGTGACAAATATTTCCAAATTTTTCATAACATTTCTTTTTTTGAGACGGAGTCTTGCTCTGTGGCCCAGGCTGGAGTGCAGTGGTGCAATCTCGGCTCACTGCAAGCCTTGCCTCCCAGGTTCACGCCATTCTCCTGTCTCAGCCTCCCTAGTAGCTGGGACTACAGGCACCCACCACCATGCCCGGATAATGTTTTTGTATTTTCAGTAGAGACGGGGTTTCACTGTGTTAGCCAGGATGGTCTCAATCTCCTGACCTTGTGATCCTCCCGCCTTGGACTCCCAAAGTGCTGGGATTACAGACATGAGCCACTGTGCCAGGCCTAACATTTCTGTTTTAAATAGCTTAATTAACTACACATGTTTTATATTCTTGCCTCTGAAAGGCAGCTTTTTTTGTTGGGTTGGTTTATTATGCATCAGACACTTGATTCGCTGAGGAATTCTGTTTTTCAGTAATTCATCCACCACAAATATCACGTAGCATTTTGACTCCACAGACCTAAGAGTCTTAAGTCTTAAAAGGATTGTAAAATCTAAGTTTTTCTGAGCTATCTGAGAGTAAGAGGCTTTTTTCTATTGAAAATAGGTTGCATTTCAAACTTTATCCGTAAGAGCTCACAACACTTTCTCCAACATGCATGCCCATGTGCTCACTTAAACAGAACTCTGAGTGAGACAGTAAATACCTCATATGCCCTTGAAAATTTTACCTTGGCATAGAAAAACCTTGTTAAGAACCTAAAAATAATTTCACTTTGAAAGTCTTTAGGGTTAGACAAATGTTAAACTTCAATTGGCAGTACAAGGGCAGCACTCAAGCCAGTAAGAGTTTTGTTGGGCCAAATTATGTTGAAAAAGATCAAATATTTTAAAAACAGGAGATTTCACATAAAAATCTGGGATTCCAGCTTCTTCTGAATAAATGAGGTACACTAATTATGCAGAGTGGCAAATGGCTGGAGTTGAGTGGGAGGTGTTTCTAGCCCAACAGATAGGCATGGAAGCTCCAGCTCAGCCCCCTCCACTCCATTTTCTTACACAAGGGAAGCCACTATGGTATAGCATCTAACTTAAGGCATATTATATGTATTCTTAAGACAGAGGAAAAGGCTGAATATTTGATATTGTCAAAAGAAATGAGAGTCTAACTTTCTGTGGCAAGGACCTTCTTGCAGTAGTAACATAGTCTGGAACACCTCCAACATAAATTATGAAAAGAAAGCTCTTGGCTCAGAAGAGAAAAAGCAAAAAAGAATACTCATTAATTCTATGTCACAGGACAAATAGATTTCAATTTCCATTGCAATTGTAGAAGAGGTAAATAATCTGCTGACCCAGAATTCCAACAGGGACTCACACTTCCTGTCTTAATAACTCGAAACACTGAAATCACTCTAACAAAGGCAAATCAATGTCTTATTAATTTCTGGTTAAAAAATAGACCCAAGAAGACAGGGCACAGACATAAATTTTGTGTGGTGGGAATACAAATATAACTTCAACGTCCAGATTCATGGATTTGGAAATGACCTTAGGCACTCTAAGTATAGCACCACTGAAGTTTACATTTAGGGAATGGCTAATCCCTGCTGATCTAAACTATTTCCAATCCCCAATGTACTCTTTAAATACAGAAATTTAAAAAAAGAGGGGGCCGGGCGCGGTGGTTCACACCTGTAATCCCAATACTTGGGAGGCCAAGGCAGGGTGGATCGCTTGAGCTCAGGAGTTTGAGACTAGCCTGGGCACCATGGTGAAACCCTGTCTCTACAAAAAACACAAAAAAATTAGCCAGGCATGGTGGCATGTGCCTGTAGTCCTAGCATCTTGGGAGGTTGAGATGGGAGCATCACTTGAACCCAGGAAGCAGAGGTGGCAGTGAGCCATGATCACACCACTGTACTCTAGTCTGAGACCCTGTCAAAAAAAAAGGAAGGGCTCAACATAGTAAGTACAGAGCTATTTTAATAGAAAGATCATGAGGGAAAAACTAGCAGCTGTCAGATAGAGAGTAATTTATTTTATTCATTTATTTATTTTTATTTTTTTGAGACAGAGTTTCGCTCAGCTGCCCAGGCTGGAGTGCAGTGGCGCGATCTTGCCTCATGGCAACCACCATCTCCTGGGTTCAAGCGATTCTCCTCTCTCTGCCTCCCAAGTAGCTGGGATTACAGGCACCCGCTATCATGCCCGGCTAGTTTTTTTATTTTAGTAGAGATGGGGTTTCATCATGTTGGCCAGGCTGGTCTTGAACTCCTGACCTCAGGTGATCCACCTGCCTCGGCCTCCCAAAGTGCTAGGATTACAGGTGTGAGCCACCACACCCAGCATTTCATATTTCATTTCTTTCATTTCAAGATGGAAACTCACTCTATCACCCAGGCTGGAGTACGCCACTGCACCTGACATTTCATTATTCATTTCATTTCATTATTTCATTTCTTCATTTCATTGCACCCAGCATTTCATTATTCATTTCATTATTTCATTTCTTCATTTCGTTTCATTTCATTTCGAGATGGAAACTCGCTCAATCGCCCAGGCTGGAGTGCACCACCACACCCGGCATTTCATTATTCATTTACTTCATTTCATTTCGAGACAGAGACTTGCTCTGTTGCCCAAAGCTGGAGTGCGCCACCGCACCTGGCATTTCATTATTCATTTCATCATTTCATTTTATTTCATTTAGAGATGAAGACTCACTCTACCGCGCAAGCTGGAGTGCACCACCACACCCAGCATTTCATTATTCATTTCATTATTTCATTTCATCATGTCATGTCATGTCATGTCATGTCATGTCATTTCATTTCGAGACAGAGACTCGCTCTATCACCCAGGCTGGAGTGCGCCACTGCATCTGGCATTTCATTATTCATTTATTTCATTTCATTTCACCCAGCATTTCATTATTCATTTCATCATTTCATTTCATTTCGTTTCATTTCCAGATGAAGACTTGCTCTATTGCCCAGGCTGGAGTGCGCCACCGCACCCAGCATTTCATTATTCCATTTTATCATTTAGTTTCATTTATTTCATTTCATATTTCATCTCATTTCATTTCATTTCGATGGAGACTCGCTCCATTACCCAGGCTGGAGTGTGCCACCACACCCAGCATTTCATTATTCATTTCATTTCACCCGGCATTTCGTATTTCATTTCATCATTTCATTTCTCACTTCATTTCATTTCATTTGTTTCATTTCATTTCGAGACAGAGACTCGCTCTATCGCCCAGTCTGGAGTGCGCCACCACACCCAGCATTTCATTATTCATTTCATTTCACCTGGCATTTCGTATTTCATCATTTCATTTCTCATTTCATTTCATTTCATTTGTTTCATTTCATTTCGAGACAGAGACTCGCTCTATCGCCCAGTCTGGAGTGCACCACCACACCCGGCATTTCATTATTATTTCATTTTTTCATTTCATCTATTTCATTTCATTTTTCAATTTCATGACGTAGACTCGCTCTATCACCCAGGCTGGAGTGCACCCAGCATTTCATTATTCATTTCATATTTCATTTCCCATTTCATTTCATGACAGAGACTCACTCTATCACCCAGGCTGGAGTGCGCCACCCACATTTCATTATTAATTTCATTATTTCATTTCATCATGTCATGTCATTTCATTCTGAGATGGAGACTCGTTCTATTGCCCAGGCTGGAGTGCAGTGGTGTGATCTCTGCTCACCGCAACCTCTACCTCCTGGGTACAAGCGATTCTCCTCTCTCAGCCTCCCGAGTAGCTGGGATTACAGGCACCTGCCATCATGCCCGGCTAATTTTTGTATTTTAGTAGAGACAGGGTTTCACCATGTTGGCCAGGCTGATCTTGAACTCCTGACCTCAAGTGATCCGCCCACCTAGGCCTCCCAAAGTGCTAGGATTACAAGCGTGAGCCACTGCACCCAGTATTTCATGTTCCATTTCATATTTATTTCATCATTTCATCTCCTTCATTTCATTTCAAAACGGAGTCTCACTCTATCACCCAGGCTGGAGTGCATCACCACAGCCAGCATTTCATTATTCATTTCATTTCATTATTTCTTCATTTCATTTCATTTCACCCGGCATTTCATTATTCATTATTTCATTTCTTCATTTCATTTCATCCCATTTGAGACAGAGACTCGCTCTATCACCCAGGCTGGAGTGTGCCACTGCACCTGGCATTTCATTATTCATTTCATTATTTCATTTCATCATTTCATTTATTTCATTTTTTCATTTCATTTCATTTCACCCGGCATTTCATTATTCATTTCATTATTTCATTTCATCATTTCATTTCATTTCATTTCGAGACGGAGACTCCCTCTATTGCCCAGGCTGGAGTGCGCCACTGCACCCAGAATTTCATTATTCATTTCATTATTTCATTTCATCATTTCATTTGATCATTTCATTTCATTTCAAGACAGAGACTCGCTCTATCACCCAGGCTGGACTGCGCCACCACACCTGGCATTTCATTATTCATTTCACCCAGCATTTCATATTTCATCTCATCATTTCTCATTTCATTTATTTCATTTCATTTCAAGACGGAGACGCGCTCTATTGCCCAGGCTGGAGTGTGCCACCACACCTGGCATTTCATTTTATTATTTCATTTCAGTATTCATTTATTTCATTTCTTCATTTCATTTCATTTCATTTCACTTCAAGATGGAGACTCGCTCTATCACCCAGGCTGGAGTGCGCCACCACACCTGGCATTTCATATTTCTTCATTTCATTTATTCCATTCCCATATTCCCATTCCCATTCAATTTCAATCCATTTCATGACAGAGACTTGCTGCATTGCCCAGGCTGGAGTGCACCACACGCATTTCATTATTCATTTCATTATTTCATTTCATCATGTCATGTCATGTCATTTCGAGCCAGAGGCTTGTTCTAACACCCAGGCTGGAGTGCAGTGGCGCGATCCCTGCTCACTGCAACCTCTGCCTCCTGGGTTCAAGCGATTCTCCTCTCTCAGCCTCCCAAGTAGCTGGGATTACAGGCACCCGCTATCATGCCCGGCTAGTTTTTGTATTTTAGTAGAGATGGGGTTTCATCATGTTGGCCAGGCTGGTCTTGAACTCCTGACCTCAGGTGATCCACCCTCCTCAGCCTCCCAAAGTGCTAGGATTACAGGCGTGAGCCACCGCACCCAGTATTTCGTATTTCATTTCATATTTAATTTTGTTTCATTATTTCATCATTTCATTTCAAGACGGAGTCTCACTCTATCACCCAAGCTGGAGTGCATCACCGCACCCAGAATTTTATTATTCATTTCAATATTTCATTTATTTCTTCATTTCATTTCATTTCACCCGGCATTTCATTGTTCATTATTTCATTTCATCCCATTTCATCTCATGTCATCTCATTTCATTTCGAGACGGAGACCTGCTCTATTGCCCAGGTTGGAGTGCACCACTGCACCCGGCATTTCATTATTCATTTCATCATTTCATTTCATTTCACCTGGCAATTCATTATTCATTTTATTATTTCATTTCATTTATTTCATTTATTCTCTTCATTTCATTCCATTTCATTTCGAGACAGAGACTTGCTCTATTGCCCAGGCTGGAGTGTGCCACCACACCCGGCATTTCATTATTCATTTCATCATGTCATGTCATGTCACGTCATTTCATTCTGAGACAGACTCGCTCTATCGCCCAGGCTGGAATTCAGTGGCGCGATCTCTGCTCACTGCAACCTGAGGTCGGGAGTTCGAGATCAGCCTGACCAACATGGAGAAACCCCGTCTCTACTAAAAATACACAAAATTAGCCGGGCATCGTGGTGCATGCCTGTAATTCCAGCTACTGGGGAGGCTGAGGCAGGAGAATCGCTTGAACTCAGGAGGCAGAGGTTGCTGTGAGCCAAGATCATGCCATTGTACTCCAGTCTGGCCAACGAGAGTGAAACTCTGTCTCAAAAAAAAAAAAAAGTGATGGTAGATGCTCACACTGGCAAACGTTAGCAAGTACTAGAAGGGTCATTTGGCAGTAGTCATTCACGTTTTAAGCATGCAGATAATTTTCTCAAATAACTTAATTTTTAGCAATTTATCCTACAACTAAAATGTATGTGCAAAACTGTATGTACGACAGTGTTTAAGAGAAGGCCTCAAAGAAAAGGTGGTATCTGAACAAAGATGGACAGATGATGCAGCATTTCAGGTAGGTATCTGGAAGGATTGTTCTAGGAAATGGTAACAGCAAGAATAAAGGCCCTGAAGTGGGAGTTAAAAGACAATGGGAATAGGAGTAGAATCTGGAGTCATCAAAGTGGCAAGGGAGCAAATTACAGAGAAGATAGAGCCACTTTAAAGAATCTGGCTTGGCCCGGCGTGGTGGTTCACGCCTGTAATCCCAGCACTTTGGGAGGCTGAGGTGGGCGGATCATGAGGTCAGGGGATCGAGAACATCCTGGCCAACATGGTGAAACCCCGACTCTATTAAAAATACAAAAATTAGCTGGGCGTGGTGGCGGGCATCTGTAATCCCAGCTACTTGGGAAGCTGAGGCAGGAGAATCGCTTGAACCCAGGAGGTGGAGGTTGCAGTGAGCCAAGATTGTGCCACTGCACCGCAGCCTGGCGACAGAGCAAAACTCCGTTTAAAAAAAAAAAAAAAGCAAAAAAAAGCTTAATTGGATTTTGATTGCTACCTTCTAAGTATCAGCACTTTCATTTAATCATAAGCCTCAAAGTGTTTATAAAACTTCTAAAGAGTTAAGTTTCATAATTCTCCTAACGAGAGTCTACACATACTGAGATGTTAATGCAGGGTTTAGAAACTGTCAAAAACTTTCATAAGACCCTCAAAGAGATCTAGGACAATTCCTCCCACCCACAGAAAAGCAATCACCCAAACAACTGAGAATCAGTGGCAAAAAAACTCTCCTAAAAGGACACAGTACTATGGGGAGTCAAAAACAATTCAGACAGCTGGGCACAGTGGCTCATGCCTGTAATCCAGTAACTCAGGAGGCTGAGGTGGGAGGATTGCTTGAGGCCAGCCTGGGTAACATAGCAAGACCCCATTGCTAAACAAAAAAAGAAACAATGAAAAAAATTAGCTGGGTGTGGTGGCATGCACCTGTAGTCTGAACCACTGGGCAGGCTGAGGTGAGAGGATCCTTTGAGCCCAGGAGTTCAAGGCTGTAGTGAGCCATGATGGCACCACTGCACTTTAGCCTGGGTGACAGAGCAAGACCGCAACTCAAAAAAAAAAACAAGGGAAACATTTTAGTGACTTTAGTCTTGCCTGGAAGAGATAAGTAAGGGACAGATGGGGGCAGTGGTGAGGGAGCCCAGGACAGCTAGCTGCTATGCTATTCAAAGTCCCATATATTGCTTCCACAATATAACAAAACAGAGAAAGAAACCACCAAACAGCAAACCGTCTTCTAGTGATCCCATCATTATTTTTTTTCTTTTCTTTTTTTTTTTTTTTTTGAGACAGAGTTTCACTCTTATTGCCCAGGCTAGAGTGCAGTGGCGTGATCTTGCCTCACCGCAACCTCCACCTCCCAGGTTCAAGCAATTCTCCTGCCTCAGCCTCCCGAGTAGCTGGGATTTCAGGCATGTGCCACCACACCTGGCTAATTTTGTATTTTTAGTGGAGACCGGATTTCTCTATGTTGGTCAGGCTGGTCTCGAACTCCTGACCTCAGGGGATCCACCCGCCTCAGCCTCCCAAAAATGCTGGGATTACAGGCGTGAGCCACCGTGCCCAGCTGACCCAATCATCTTTCACTTCAACCTTTTCCTTACCATCTCTTCAACTAATACTTTTCCTGGACCATTTTGACTTTAGGCTTCTACCTCCAATCTATTTTATCTACCCACTACTTCTAACTTAATCTTCCTCAGAGATAATTCTAATACTCTGTCCAAAAACCTTTGATGACATGCTGCCTTTCTATGTAATTTTAAGCTTCTTACCTTAGCTTTCCATGCCATAAGCCTAAACTATCTTCCCAGACTTTTCTCCCACAACTTCCTTATATGTATCATATAATCAAACAGATACATCAGAAAATTCAGTCCATCCTTAAGGTCTGGCTCAACTGTTATTTATTACTTCTTTCCCTTTTCTAGAAATTTTCCTGATTTCTCTGTCCTGGAGGTAATTTGGTTTGGTGAGAAAGACAACGGGCTTTGGACTCAGACTAGAGTTTGATGCACTAGAACATGACAGAGCTGTGTGAGCATGTGGAGGTAATTTAACTTGTCTGAATTTTAGTTTCTTTGTCTATAAAACAAGGGAGTACCAGTCTACTACCTTCAGAGAATGGTAAATGAGCTAACCTATATAAAGGATGTGACCTCCTTTCTACTTTAAGCGTATTTTGTACAATTCTTAGCAGAGTTAACACAGCTTTCCTCTTGGAAGTCAACAGACAATATGTAAGACTGAAAAGTCAAGAAAAATCAAGATAATAATATTATTTAAAAACATGAAAATAAAAAATAATGAATTAAAGCAGCCTAGGCATGGTAGCTCACATCTGCAATCCTAGCACTTTGGGAGGCTGAGGCAGGATGACTGCTTGAGCCCAGGAGTTCAAGACCAGCCTGGGCAACATAGTGAGACCCCATCTCCGAAAAAGAAAAAAAAAAAAAAAATTAGCTGGGTGTGGAGGCGTGTGCCTGTAGTCCCAGCTACTCAGGAGGCTGAGATGGATCACCTGAGCCCAGGAGGTCAAGGCTACAGTGAGCCTTGATTGTGCCACTGCACTCCAGCCTGGATGACAGAGTGAGACTCTGTCTTAAAAAAAAAATTAAAATAAGCTGGGAGTGGTGGCTCACGCCTGTAATCCTAGCACTTGGGAGGCTGAGGAGGGTGGATCACCTGAGGTCAGGAGTTTGAGACCAGCCTGACCAATATGGTGAAACCCCGTCTCTACTAAAAATACAAGAATTAGCCAGATGTGGTGGTGTGTGCCTGCAGTCCCAGCTACTCAGGAGGCTGAGATGGGAGAACTGCTTGATCCCAGGAGGTGGAGGTTGCAGTGAGCCGAGATCATGCCACTGCACTCCAGCCTGGGTGACACCAAGACTCCATCTCAAAAAAGAAAGAAAAAAAAAAAAATTAAAAGTTGCCTTTGGGAAAAGGGAATTAAGGTGAGACGTATAGAACACTGTTGTGCATCATTAAAATCTTTTAGATGTTAAAAAGATAAAAACCTTGACTTAAAAAATCAAGTATGTGGATTAAACATCATTAAAATCTTTTAGACGTTAAGATAAAAACCTTGACTTAAAAAATCACGTATGTGGATTATTTTGATAAAAATAAAAATTAAGTAGCCAAAGATGTATCAACACAATAAAAAAGCTAAATTAGGCATTACTTGGATGTATGCTTCTAAACTAGTAAAACTTATCACAGAAGAGAATTATCTGACCCTTGACAGCAACATGTTTATCTCCCAGTAGCGTAAGATGATCATAGGAATAAGATGCTCTAAATTGACTTACAGGGAAGTCATTCCTGGGCTTCGACCTTGTGTGTGTCTTGTGATAGTTTAATATGCTGATGTCACAGGTCAAACTATTGTTTAAAACAAAACCAACAATTCTGAATATTCTATTGCTTAGTCTGTCCAAGATTAAAAAAACTAAACTAAAATGAATGAAAAATACAGAAAAGAATCTTATATTCTTAATGTCAAAAAACCACCATAAACCATATGATCCAAGAATCCCACTTCTGCACATATATCCAAAAAAAGAAAGAAGGACCTTGAAGAGATATTTGTACATCCATATTCGTAGCAGCATTATTCACAATAGCCAAAAGGTAGAAGCAACCCAAATATTCCTTGATAAAAGAATGCACATGCAAAATGTGGTACACATACACAGAATGAATATTATTTAGCTTTAAAAAGGAAGGGAATTCTGGCACACGCAACAATATGGATGAACCTTGAGGATATTATGCTACGTAAAATAAGCCAATCAAAAAAGGACAAATATTGTATGATTCTACTTATATGAGGTGCCTAAAGCAGCCAATTCAGAGACAGAAAGTGTAACATTATCAGGAGCTAAGGAAGTGGTAAATTGGAGGCTTAATAGGTACAGAGTATCAGTTTTGCAAGATGAAAAAGTTCCAGAGATTGGTTATATAATCATGTGACTATAATACTAATGTACTGTATACTTAAAAATGGTTAAGATGGGTAAATCTCATATTTTACCACAATTAAAAACCAAACCAAACCAAAATAACCATAAAGTTAGAACACTAGATTATACTGCAACAGAGTGTAATTTCCTTGAAAACCATGAATTTTAAAAAGCGCACTTCAAGTATATTAAGAGATGGCTCCCCATTCAACAGTACTCACCTGTACATTTATACAACATGCCTGTCATGGTTCCAGCTGCTACTGTGTTAAGGTCATCTTCTGCACCTCGTGTTTTCTCAATGATGACACCAAATGCACTATAGAGCAACGCTAAAGAGGAAATGGAAGTGCTCAGTGACAAAACAGTGATAAAGTGTGATATTATGATATACATATATTGGTTTTCATCCATGGTTCCTAGCTCATAACTCCCATAGCCCTTCCTAAGTGACTAAAACAATCACTTGTTAAGGTATTTGTCCTTGGTTCTGGAATCAGCTTTGGAACAGCTTCAGAGGGACAAAGGTGAAGGTCTTTTGTTGTATTACTGGGGCACTTCAGGCCTCAGAAGCAGCCTCAGAAACAGAATCTCTCTCTGTGACCTTCTCCTGCCCTCCTTTCACCTGCTCCCTTTTCTCCCCACAGCAGGACTCTAATCTTTCCCCACACCTTCCTGTCTTGGAACTGGCCATAAAGAAATTCTATGACCTACCTTGTCTGATTGCAGGCTGTAAGACCCCCATTTCAGAAGAGATCGTACCCCATACCCAGGAAGAAGAAATGTTGCACAGAAAGGCCAAGGAGAATCTGGGCAGGCAGGCCTTGCTGGATTTCTGTGCCCAGTCTATTAGTAGTAGAGCATGTCCTTTTTGTCCAATCACAGTTCTATAAGGTTGTCCATGCTTCAGTCATGCCTATCCAATCAATTTTCCACATGAGGCCCAAGTGGATGGGGTCGGAAGACTTTCTGGACAGCTCAACTCATGGGACTTGCAGGAAAGTGAGAAAGAACTCACCCACGTGTCAGGAGGCTAGTGCACCCCAACTCCAGTGAAATGAAAGCTCCTGCACTCAGGGCCCATCCAGGCCTCACCTTATGTATTCCTTGACTGGGCTATTTGTATCCTTTAAAAATATCCAGCCAGGTGTGGTGGCTCACAAAGTTTCTGTAATCCCAGCACTCTGGGAGGCCGAGGTGGGAAGATCACATAAGCCCAGGAGTCAGAGACCAGTCTGGGCAACAACATAGGGATACCCCCTTCTCCAAAAAAATTTTTAAAAAAATTAGTTGGCATGGTGGTGCATGTTGCCTATAGTCCCAGCTCCTTGAAAGGCTGAGGTGGGAGGCTTGCTTAAGCCCAGAAGTCTAGGTTGCAGTGAGCTCCACTGCACTCTAGCATGGGTGACAGAGCAAGACCTTGTCTCAAAAAAAAAAAAAAAAAAATCTTTATAATAAATACGCAAATGTTAAGTATGTGTTCCCTCGAGTTCTGTGAGCCAATCCAATAAATTAATCAAACCCAAAGAGGGGGTTGTGGGAAACCCTGACAAAGCTGGTTGGTCAGAAGCACAGGTAAAATAACCTGGAGCTTGCGATCAGCATCAGAAGTATCCAAAGTGGGGCTCAGTTTTGTGGGACAGAGTGCTCAACCTGCTGATCTAATGCTATCTCCAGGCAGAAGTGAAACAGGAGGACACCCAACTGCTGTCCACTGCAAAAGAGATTACTTGGTATGTGGGGAAATATTCCCACATAACTGGTCACAGAACTATCCTATGTTGACTGTTGTAGTGTGAGAGCAGAGGAAAAACTGTTTTTTTTTTTCAACACAAAAGTCAGTATGGCAATTATATTTAGAAAAATTTATCCAAAGATATACATGGAATGATCACTAGAACAGTTTCTAATAGCAAACACCTGGCAACAAATAAAATGCCCATCAAGAGCATTTGTACCATCTGAATTGATCCAGAGAGGGACTTTTCATATAATGGAATACTATACAGTCACTTAAAAACCAGAAGAATCATTTTCACTAATAAGTAAATCAGGGACATGTGCACATGATACACGACTGACTGGCTATGCAGAGAAACGCCTGGAAGAATTCAGAAGAAACATCAATAGCTATTTCTAGAAAGTACCGCTAGGAAGTCTCAGGAAGAATATTTAAAATTTTCATTTATATGCTACCCATAATTGCTGTACTTCGGATTGAAGACACACATACACACACACACACACACACACACACACACACACACACACACACGTATTTCTAGTATAAGAAAAAATAGATTAAAAAAAAAGTGAGGTTTGATTCTCACGTATTATAACACTAGCACCATTTCATTTTAAAGTATCTTCCCCCAAGCCATCTTTCTATGCTCTTGCAGATTCCTATCTGGAATGAACGTTAAACTTTTAAACTCTTTCTCAAAATTATAGCTACACTTGCCCCTTGCAACAATACACCGCGCTCAGCCTTACAACTCCTCTACTGCAGTATTTTTATACTTCTATGAAAGTTCATCTTCCTCTTCAACTTATTTAACTGAAACTGATCACAAGCAGAACATCCTTCTTGATCATACCACAATGGGTACACAGAGGGTGACCAGCCATTCTAGTTTGTCCAGGACTGTGGGGCGGGGTGGGCGGGGGGTGGAGATTATTGGAACATAGTTTCTTGGACTTTTCTCTGAAAGTCCTAGGCAGACAAGGACAGCTGACTACTCTAGGTATACAAGCAATTAAAAGAAGCAGAGAGGGGTGACTCTGTAGGAGGGTGGGAGGAATGCAGACATCAGCAACATATGAAAGCAGCCATCTCTTAGGATCCAAAGTGTGAAAACTGGCTTTACAGTGTGAAGATGTACTGCTTCCAAATTCTGTGACAAGGCAGGACCTTACTCTGCCATAACAAACGCTTTTTCTATGTTTTCAATGAGTTTTCTATGTCTTCCCCTCCTTAATCTGCCACAATTTAAATTGAGATTTTCAACTAAGTTCACACAGTAGGAAAATTTTGGATGTCAGGACATAAGCCATAAGAGATCTATTGTAAGTGATCAATCATTCATAAACAATATGGTATGAAAGCATTAGGCTCTGACTAAGCACTACTAAATTACCTTTTGCCTAGAACTGCAAACGTTTTCATTATCTACAAGGAACCTATTCCAATTGTGGCAATTAGGTGCCTGAAATCTACTCAGGTAAACAGACTAATGAACACGCTATTAAGAAAACATAGCAAGAGGGCTGGATTAATTTATCATGTATCACTACAGGACCTTGAACCTTGTCTAACATACAAAGCTCTTTACTTTGGACCTAAATTATCTGGATTTCATTTAAACATGATTTTATTGGGTGTTGTGCTTGGAGAGTGTGCAGTGTCCAAAATATTTTAAAAATTCAGAAATGGTATTCAGAATGGTATCAGCACCTGAGATTATTTCATAAGTTAGTTCATGGTCTTTCCCTAAGTAGTATCTACATTATGCATTGGAATGGATTTAAACATAATTGTCTCATATCCTAGGACCAGAATATGGGTTGATCAAATTGTTCATGATATTTGTGCATTCTTTCTTTAAGTTAACAATTTATTATCAAACGAGATCTCTACTTACCCAGAGAACCTAGAGTATTAGCCCAAAGTGCCCCTTGCCTAGTCACCATATTCAAAATCCTATCAGGGCAGAAAGAGAAAGAATCTGTATTTAGAATCATTATTTCTCTAGTAATCTTTAAAAACAATAATGGCTATTTAACATGTCTAGACCCAGGGCGCAAAGTTTTTTAAATTCTAAAATACATCTTAATATCTCCGATTTCAATAAGGATGGTTTTTACTCTACATAAGTGAAAATTAGGTTAAAACTTTCAAAATTTTAGGCAAAAGTCTTAAGGACTTTTATATAAGTCCTTAATAATAATAATAATAATAATAATAATAAGGAAAACTCTTATTATTAAATGTATAATATAATGAATACACATTAAATATATATAAGGCTTTGAATGACAGCCTGGAATGTATCTTACAGAGGTTTACAGAAACTAATCCATGTAAAAAATGCCACTGTTAACTATGGCGAGCTAGCTTCTAAAAGGTTCTTTTTGGGAGGGGAACATATGCTTAGAATGTTAAAGATAATCAAAGTAAAGAATATCAAAGTACAGAATATAAAGTAAAGAATATCGAAGTACAGAATATAAAGTAGAATTAAAGAGAAGGAATCAGCCATCTAACTAGAATACATGGGGAAAGCACCCTGTGTCTGCTCCCAGACTAGAACCAAGCAGCCAAGGTGAATGCTCAGCACACTCTCAAGGAAGCACAGTTCTGCCTTGCACCAGTGCCAGACACCACCAGAACAGTGATGGAGGCAACTGGATGAAGAGAAGACATTCTTCTCCCAGCAGTGTAACACCATCCCAGGAATGGTTCTGTCCAGACAGCTGACTACTGCTGGAAATTATGGAAATACAGTAACAAAGAGTGAAGGAACTCATTCAGTTTAATTATTAAACGACTCAATTAACGTTCTACAGAAACAAAAATTTGTATTGCTTCTAAAAGATTGTTTTAAAAAATCAGTAATGTTTACAAACAGAAGTATATTGTTTCTAATTATGTTACATATTTACTAACGTATTTTAAGTTCAGCCATCATTTTTTCATTTTTAACAAGCATTTTAATAACTTGTTTTAAGAAAGGAAGCAAGTTGTCTTTTCTAGGAGATCTACTTCCAAATTTGTATTTAATATGATATTGGGGTTTTTGTCTCAAAATAAGGTGGGAGAGGAGAGGGAGATGGGATAGAACTGGCCATGGTTGATGGTTGTTGAGGATGGGTTATGGTTCATGTGTTCACTATGCTATGTATTTTGTCTACTTTTATATATTCAAAATTCCCTATAATACAAAAACTTAAAAATATTATTGAAGCGAGGGACAAGTAATAAAAATATTGAAGGATCTAGGCTGGTAAAGCATGGACAGAGATCCACACAGTAACAGGAATATAAAAAACTTAACAGAGCTAGGCGCAGTGGCTCATGTCTGTAATCCCAGCAGTTTGGAAGGCTGAGGCAAGAGGATCACCTGAGCTCAGGAGTTTGAGAACAGCCTGAGCAATACAGTGAGACCCCGTCTCTACAAAAAATTAAAAAATTAACTGGGCATGGTGGCATGTGCCTGTAGTCCCAGCTACTCGGGAGGCTGAGGTGGGAGGATCACTTGAGCCCAGGAGGTCAAGGCTACAGTGAGCTGTGATGGCACCATTGCACTCCAGCTCGGGCAACACAGCAAGGCCCTGTCTCTCAAAAAACCACACAATTTAACAGGCCTTCCAGTTTCCCATGGTCTAATTCTAGCACATCTGGTGCCATCTGCTGGGTGAACAATATGAAAGGAAGATAGGAGTTTAAAGTGTCCTAAAACAAAACAGTAGCCATCGAAGAATACATACTCATGATTCCACTTACATGAAGCATAAAAATGGGCAAAACTAAACATATTGTTTAAGGAATATCAAGAGGGACTGGCCATGTTTACTTCTTAAGTTGGGTGAAAACATACTTTCTGATCCTTTTAACTGTACTTTCCCTTCTCTGTAACTTCAAGTTCTAACAGAAAACTGTGTCTTATCCTTTTGGAGTTAACTCTAATTCTAAAAATTTTATTTAAAATGTATCTGGCTCATCACTTCGGAAACAAAGTCAAGACAGTAAGAAGTTCAAGTTAAATGATGGCAGCTTGAGCCATCACTCTCATGAGCTGCTTATTCTTCATTACCATTTCCTATGGATCTGCATGCCCCCAAACAATCCAAAATTCCCATTAGCAACTCAACAATTTGAAAAGCAAGTCACATAGGGTTGGAGAATGTAACAGGTGCAGCTGAGAAGTCAGGCTGGCATAGCACTAGCTGATTGAGGGACACTGATTAAAAAAATCACTCCTTTTTAAAAGCTTAGAGTCAGTAATCTGATTCCTTAGTTGCTTTTATTTTGATTAAGATTAAAAAACAAAGACAAAAAAGCACATAACTATGCTAACCATCTGTAATCTCAAGGTTGTACTCATCAAACCAATACAACAGAGCTTAATATTCAAGTATCACTACATCAGATGGTTACAAGAGACTTACTGTACATTTCCTGGTTTGGACCAGGCCATGTTCTGGGTTTCCTTCAATCCTAGCCGAAGACCATTCATTGCCCCAAACGCAGCCCCTGGTAAATCATAAAAATTCACCCAGATAAGACAGCTTTATATTAAAAAAAAAACCTCAAAACTGCATAACTACACTTCTGATTCTTTTTCATTTTTATTTAATAGAAAAAGACAAATGTAAATATTAAAAAAAAAAACCCTGAAACCAACATTCTAATTGCTTTTGATTTTACGCACCCTCAACTACTTGAACTGAGCACTCTTGAGAAAAAAGTATGTAACACTCACCTGTCATGCAACACCCTCCAATCGTAAAGAAGGCCAGCTCAAATCTGCCCCAGGTTTTATTAGCTCCGGTAGGTAAAATGAACTCATCTGTATCCTAAAAGGATAATAATGAAAACCAAGCTGAGTGTCCCTCAAGACACAAATCTTGTAAAGTTGCCTTTTTAACATTTCAAGTAGTTTTTCACAGAAAATAAACCTTAAATTAACTCAAACCTATACTTAAACAAAAATAAAACTTTCTGCAGCAGTAACACCTAAATCAAAGTGAAATGAAATACGAAACACAGTTCTTAGAAGGGAGTCTCATTAAAGACTTTGTTTCCTTCAAAACGTAAATCTGATAGATTTGTGCAAAAGTGTTTAGAAAGGACAGCTCTAGAGAAAGGAACACTGAAAGCTATGAGAAGAACAGAACAGACAACCAGTCTGGAAGAAACAAATAACTTTCATTCTGTAGCAGCTATTTATTGTGCATTTTTCTATGTATAAAGCCAAATGTTCACAAACATGAGCAAAAACTAATAAAGTACAACAGTTTGGATCAATTATGCAAGGGCAAATGACCCCCTTTAATAATTCTTATCTGTTTAAGGAGTATATATTCCTTTGATACTCTCAGAAAGCTATAGACCCTATTTCTAGTAATTGCATACACAAAATGTGGCATGAACCCCTGGAAGGTCATCCAAAATACTAAGATTGAGAAATGACACTCTTAAGAGCAAAATATGGTTACCAATTTTGAAGAGTCAATGCACCTTTATGAAAAACACACTCAAAAAAACACACAAAATTTTATCACCATGTTGGATTAAAAAAAAAAAAATCACACTCATTTTTGGCACGCTTTCCATCCAAAGATGGTTAAAATAAGCCTCTAATGGCTAGGTCACACCCTTGGCAAAAAGACACATAGTGTGTTACATTTAACATAGTAAAGACCACTGACAATTAACATTCTCCTACATCCTTGTGGCAAATACTGAACGTTGATTCAGAAAACTGTATTCCTAATCAGAAAACTGTGGTTCTGCCTTGGTTTTTTCTTTCTGGCATGTGCACACATCCTCACCAAAAATTGCAAAAGTAAACAAACACATCCACTCTCATCACATAAGAATGGTCTGTTGGGCAATAATAAAATCTGAATAGTTCCCATGTCATAATATAATTGTATAGAGTTTTATAAATTTTGGGTACTTCAACTTTTAAATAATGACTTAGTATTAAACTGCTTTTTGTTTGAGTTTTTAGAAATGCTAGATTCAATGTGGTAAGGTAAATAATTATTCTTCAGTCTCAGGCCATGGTTGCTGAGAAGAAAAAAAAAATTATCCTTCAATACAGAAACAGATCACTAATTAAGAATAGAAAACTTGGCCAGGCACGGTGCCTCCCGCCTGTAATCTCAGCGCTTTGGGAAGCCGAGTCGGGTGGACTGCCAGAGCTCAGGAGTTCAAGGCCACCCTGGGCAACATGGTGAAACCCCGTCTCTACTAAAATACAAAAAATTAGCTGGGCGTGGCAGTGTGCGCCTGTAGTCCCAGCTACTTGGGAGGCTGAGGCAGGAGAATTGCTTGAACCCGGGGGTGGAGGTTGCAGTGAGCTGAGATCACGCCACTGCACTCCAGCCTGGGTGACAGAGCGAGACTCCATCTCCAAAAAAAAAAAAAGAAAAGAAAACTTAAAAAAAAAAAAAAAGGCTGTGATGAACATTATCAAGCAAGCAAAAGTGCACGTTAGCACCAACTCATTCTCCTGCTAGTATCAACTGAAAAATATAACAAGGGTTGCAAGCAAACATCCATCAATTCACACACAAACAAGGCTGTTATCAAAGTATGTTAATATACTGAATGTATAGAAGATTTACTAAAAAGCTCTTGTTAAACCTGTCCTGTTGACACTCCAGGACACTAGTATTACTAAAATCCCAAGTACCAGAGTTTGCTGACATGGAAGATAAATCCAAGAATGGGTATCAATGTACTTGCTGGGGGAAAAAAAAAAAAAAAAAAAGAAAAAACTTTTTTAATTTATAATTTTGCGTGTTTAACACTATGGATGTTAAAAATATTTAAATTTTCCTTATTTTTGTACCAGATGTTCACCTGGGCTAACAAAAAAATTTATTACTTGACACAATTTAAAAAAAAGTTTCAATGAGGATATAAGAGTAGTGACAATACAAAAGCATTAGTGAGAGAAACTACAATACTGTATCAGATAAAAGTTGGCTAGGCACAGTAGCTCATGCTTGTAATCCCAGCACTTTGGGAGGCCAAGGTGGGAGGACTGCTTGAACCCAGGAGTTCCAGACCAGCCTGGACAACACAGTGAGACCCTGTGTCTACTATTAAACAAGAAAAAAAAAAAGTTGTTGCCAAAGTCACGACATGGTGAGTTGACAGGTACTATTTTCTTTAAGATGTCTCTAACCTTCAAAAGTATAAATAAAAGTTTTACAAAATGTAATTTCTATTATCTTTAAATTTAAGGTCTCCAGAATTATTTCCAATAACAGATGAGGTTTATAAAACACTTTTTAAAGTCTGAAGTCCCTCTAGAATTCCAATGGAAGATTAAATGTTCATGATGAAGAATGAATTCACAAGTTTTTGGGGGGATATGAAATATTTTATGTCTAACCTTAATAAGCCCCACCTAGCAATGCAGGGCTACAATGATATTGAATTTTAACTAGATCTAGAGTACAACCTCTAAGTGTAGATTCAACATTAAAGCAAAATACATGCAACTAGTTTTGAAATTTTGAGTAAACTGACAAAGGAGTACTTTTAAAGTAAAAAAATCAAGGAACACCCAATGTTAAAATATAACATTTGAAAAACATTTCAAAAATAATGAAGCTTTAAATTGGCAAGGTCCGAACCATCAACTTGCTTCAATTTGAACACTTAACGCAAACAAGAAATGCAGCAGCTGTCAGATGCCGTTAGTGATTCAACTCTGAAATAAAAGGTTCCAACCATAACTCTTAAAAAAAAAAAAAAAAAAAAAAGGCCAGGCATGGTGGCTCATGCCTGTAATTCCAGCACTTTGGGAGGCCAAGGCAGAAGGACCACTTGAGGCCAGGAGTTAAGAGACCAGCCTGGGCAACCAAGTCAGATCACATCTCTACAAAGAATGTAAAAAAAAAAAGAATTAGCCAGGCATGGTGGTGTTCATCTGCAGCCCTAGCTATCTAGGAGGATGAGGCAGAAGGACCGCTTGAGCCTAGGAGTTTGAGGTTACAGTGAGCTATGATGCTGCTACTGCAACTCGAGTCTGGAAGACAGAGTGAGACTTTGTCTCTTAGAAAAAAAAGAGAGAGAGAAAATGGAGTTACTGATATGTATCTCATGTACCATACAATTTACTTACTTAGAGTGTACAATTCAGTGGTTTTTAGTATATTCAGAGTTGTGCAACCAAGACTACAATAAATTTTAAAGCATCTTCATCACCCCCCAAAAAAATCACATACCCATTAGCAGTCACTGCCCATTTACTCCCAACCCTTGGCAGCTACTAATCTACTTTCTTGTCCATATATTTGCCTATTCTGGACATTCCATATAAATGGAACCACACAATATGTGGTCTCTTGTGACTGGTTTCTTTCATTTAGGAAGTTTTAAAGGTTCATTTATATTGTAGCATAATTTAATAGTTCTTTTTTTATTACCAAATAATATTCCATTTGTATGGATATGCCACACTTTTTTATCCATTCATCAGTGGATAAACATTTGGTTTGTTTCCATTTTTTGGTTATTATGAATAATGCTACTAGCAACATTCATTTACAACTTATGTGCACAGAGGTTTTCAATTCTCTTGAGTATGGAGTATACGCAAGTGAAATTGCCAGTCATAAGGTAACTCTATTTTTAACACTTTGAGAAACTGCCAGACTGTTTCTAAAAGCAGCTGTATCATTTTACATTCCCACCAGCAATGTACAGAGGTCCAATTTCTCTACATCCTCAACAATACTTATTATTTTCTTTTTGATTATAGTGATCCCCGTGGGTGTAAAGAGGCATCTCATTGTGGTTTTATTTCTCTAATTAATGTTACTGACCAGCTTTCATGTCATTATTAGACATCTGTATATCTTCATAGAGAAATGTCTACTCAAATCCTTTGCCCATTTTGTAATTATTTTTATTAATGTTTCAAGAGTTAAAAAAATTAAATATTCTAGATATAAATTCCTTATCAGATACATAATATGCAAATATTTTCTCTCAGTCTGTGGATTGTCTTTTCCCCATTTTTTTCCTTTTGAGACAAAGTCTCTCTCTGTCACCCAGGCTGGAGTTAAGTGGTTTGATTATGCTCACTGAGACTTGACCTGCTGGACTCAAGTGATCCTCCCACCTCAGCCTCCCTAGTAGCTGGGACTACAGGTGCATACCACCACACCCCGCTAATTTTTGTATTTTTTTGCAGAGATGGGATCTTCTTATGTTGGCCAGGCAGGTCTCAAACTCCTGGGCTCAAGTGATCCTCCCGCCTCAGCCTCTTAAAAGTGTTGGGATTATAGGCACGAGCCACTGCGCCAGGACTTTTTCCATTCTTTATTTATTTATTTATTTATTTTTGAGACCGAGTCTTACTCTGTTGCCCAGGCTGAAGTGCGGGTGGTGCGATCTCGGCTCACCACAACCTCTGCCTCCCAGGTTCAAGTGATTCTCCTGCCTCAGCCTCCCAAGTAGCTGGGATTACAGGCGCCCAGCACCACGCCTGGCTAATTTTTGTATTTTTTAGTAGAGATGGGGTTTCACCATGTTGGCCAGGCTGGTCTCGAACTCCTGACCTCAGGTGATCCACCCGCCTCAGCCTCCCAAAGTGCTGGGATTACAGGTGTGAGCCACTGCACCTGGCCTCCATTCTTGTTGGTATTGTCTAAACCACAAAATTTTAAAATTCTGATTAAATACAATTTATCAACTTTCTTTTTACCACTTGTGCTTTTGGTGTCACAACCAAGAAATCACTGTCTAATCCAAAGTCACAACTACTTGTGCCCATGATTTCTTCTAAGAGTTTGACTGCTTCGGTTTACATTTAAGTCTTTAATCCATTTGGTGGTAACATTTTGCATATGGTGCAGGGTTAGGGTTCAACTTCATTCTTATGCATATGGATTCCAGTTGTCCTAACGTCTCCCCTGACTTAACTATTTTGGCATCCTTGTTGAAAAGCAAGTGACTGCGTATATTGTATAAGGTCTGTCTTCTGGACTCTGTATTTCATTAACTATGGATTTATTCTTATGTTACTATCATGATGTGGCTCTGTAGAAAGTTTTGAAATTGGCAAGTTCAAGTCCTCCAATCTATTTTCTCAAGGTCATTGGCCATTCTATGTCCCCTGAATTTCCATATGAATTTTAGGATAAAAGCTTGTCAATTTCTGCAAAAAAGCCAGCTGGGATTTTGACAGGCACTGCACTAAATCTGTTGGTTAATTTGGTGAGCACTGCCATTTTAATATTAAAATTTTCAGGATCATAGCATGTGTCTTTCCACTTAATTTCAATAATGTTTTATAGTTTTCAGAATATGTTTTGCACCTGGTCCATTTATTTCTAAGTATTTGCTTTTTGATGTTATTGGTAATCAACTGTTTTTTGTAATTTCATTTTTGTAGTGTTCATTGCAACTGTCTAGAAATATATTTATGTATATTGAACTTGTATTCTGCAACTTGCTGAACTCGATCATTAGTTTTAACAGATTTTTGTGATTTCCCTTGTGATTTTCTATAGATAAGATCATGTCATTTGTAAACAGATAGTTTAACTTCTTTTTCAACTTGAATGCCATTTAATGTACTTGACTAATTGCCCTGGCCAGACAATGCTGAATATAAATGAGAGTAAATATACTTATTTTGTTCCTGATCTTAGGGAGAAGGCATTCAGTCTTTCACCATTAAATTATGTTAGCTTTGGATATTCTGTAGATGGCATTTAACAGGCTGAAGTCCCTTTTATGTCTAGTTTTATTTATTTATTTAGAGACAGGGTCTTACTCTGTTGCCCAGGCTGGAGTGTAGTGGGGTGTTCTCAGCTCACTGCAACCTTTGTATCCAGGGTTCAAGCGATTCTCGTGCCTCAGCCTCTCAAGCAGCTGGGATTACAGGTAGGCACCACCACGCCTGGCTAATTTTTGTATTTTTAGTAGAAACAGCGTTTCGCTATGTTGGCCAGGCTGGTCTCAAACTCCTGGCCTCAAGTGATCTGCCCACCTCAGCTTCCCAGAGTGCTGGGATTACAGGTGTGAATCACTGCGCCCAGCCTAGTTTGTTTTTATAATCATTAAAGGGGGTGTTGGATGTTGTCAAATGATTTTTGTGAATCTATTGAGATAAGCATGTGGTCTTTGTACTATATTCTTTCCTTGATTGCTTTATTATAAATTGATATGGCACAATACATTAATTTTCAGATGTTAAAACAACCTTGCTTTTCTAATATACCCAAGATATATTTGCTAATATATCTTGGATTCAAAAAGATACTCTTTGAAACTTTTGATGCTTAGTCAAAAAAACCCTGATATTGTAAACTGAGCTTTAAAACACACTTTGCCTGTAATCCCAGCACTTTGGGAGCCTGGCCAACATGGTGAAACCCGGTCTCTATTGAGAACACAAAAATTAGCCAGGCGTGGTGATGGGCGCCTGTAGTCCCAGCTACTCGGGAGGCTGAGGCAGGACGATGGCCTGAATTTGGGAGGCTGAGGTTGCAGTGAGCAGAGATCGCGCTACTGCACTCCAGCCTGGAGGACAAAAGCAAAACTCTGGCTCAAAAACAAACAAACAAACAAACAAAAAAACCCCACACACTTTGTAACTAGGCATCCCAATACTTTTATTGGGGTGCTTTCAAAAATTAATTCTGCTCTGGTTTTAAAAAATAAGCTTTTGAAGGGAGTTAACTGGTTTCAGAGAGATGCAGGCCAAGCTCCTGGTGTTTGTGAGGAAAAAAGGGTGAATGGAGACCAGAGACTTACTGCCTCCAGAAGTGTATGTCATAGTTCAAGTCAGCATAGCACTTGGCGTTTTTTTAAAAATGGTAAAATAATGCACCAAACTAGTAAAATCTTAGTCTTACCTGCACGAGGTATCGTGGATCCACATTTAAATAAGGACACAGAGGGTTCATACCAGTTACTAGAGAGAAAACAAAATGTCACATTGCAACAAAATTCTTTAAGTTAATCCAGTTAGAGTTAATCCAGCTCCTGATTGTTACATGTGTTTGCAATTTTTATAGGCTCACTGAAGGCAGAAAATTTTTTCCCATTTTATCCTCCCTATCTGTCAGTTTGGGGGCTGACTCATCCTGAGACCCTCAATCCCAAACCAGGTCTTCCACTGGTGGCTCAGGCTTTTACACCAATAAGATAATCGCAGTGTCATAGATCTGATTTTTGAACTTACAGGAAGTGTAGTCCAGGCCATTTACAAAGCTAATTTCTTTCACTTTACTACAAGAATGCTTGGTGACTATATAAATTACAAAATAAGACTGAGAAAAGACTAATCAATTCCATGGGAAAAACAGTGGTTGGGTTGGGTTTTCTGACTGTGTACATGTTGTATCTAACTATTTCAAGGCAGTTCCTTCACATATTACTATTAACGATTGATTTACTGTGGCAAGGTTGAGAATCCTTGGGTCATTACCACAGGTATGTGGGTCTGTGCAAAAGAAAACACAAACTTTGAGAGGGCCAGACCTGAATTCACTAACATTGAAAACAGTAAAACCTATCATCTTTGGATCCTTCTGTATCTCAGCAGTTATTTACAAACCTATGCATCACCCATGCCTCTATCTTTTCATCAATTAGGAGTCCTGCTTGTTCTATTTTTAATACCCATTTTGAATTGTGTTACTTATCTTCTCTATTGCTACCATCCTAGTCCAACCATCATATCTCACAGCAACAATTTCCTAACTCCTTGCTTTCTCTTACCCCTTCAATTCACTGTCTACATAGCAACTACGTGATTTTTCTTAAGAAAATCGAAACTCCTTACCATAACTTACAAAATCCTACATTAGCTGTCATTCCCTACCTCTCTGATTTCACAAGCTTCAATTGATCCAACTCCCTTGTAACTACGAAGACAGACTGGCCTAAGAGCTGTTCCTTAAACATGCCAAATTTGTTTTGTTTCAGGACATTTGCACTAGCTATTTTCCTGGATACTTGCCTCCCAAGCATTTGTACTGTATTTGGGTCACAGCTCAAATGTCAACTCCCTTGAGATGTTTTCCCTAATCCGCTCTAAAATGGCATCCTGCTTCCATCACAATCTCATGACTCTGCTTTATTCCCTTTACAGCACTTATCACTAAAGGCAATGTTTTAATTTATGTTTGTTGGTTTACCTCAGTATTATGTAAGCTCTGTGAGCGCAAGGGTCCTCTTTTCAAAAAAAAAAAAAAAAAAAAAAACCCACAAAAACCACTATAGTCCTGCCCCCAGAAAAGTAGCTAGCACACTGTAAAAGCTCAGTAAATGGTGTTCATTCCCTGGTCCCCCAATTTACCTTCAAATCTTAATCAAATTAATTTAACAATATTGTCACATTAAGGAAGTGTATATGCCCTTTGTGCTCTGAAACTCAGAAATACTAAGATTAATATGAAACTGTGTTCTAAACAGGTAAAGTAGTAGCTCAGGCCTAGGAATCCCAGCATTTTGGGAGGCCGAGACAGGAGGATGGCCTGAGTTCGAGAGTTTGAGACCAGCTTGGACAACACAGGGAGACCCCATCTCCACAATAAGTCAAAAAAAAAATTTTAAAAATTAGCCAGGTGTGGTGGTACGTACCTAGATTCCCAGCTACTTAGGAGGCTTAGAGGGGAGGATTGTTTGAGCTCAGGAGTGCCAGGCTTCAGTGAACTATAATCATGCCACCGCACCCCAACATGGGTGACAGAACGAGGTCCTGACTCTAAAAACAAACAAAAAAAAAACGAAACAAAACACCATGTGTTGTAGATTCAGTTTTTTGACAAAGGTGACACCAGGGAAATGAAAGGTCTTTTATATTTTTTTGCACTAGAGTCAGTCTGAACATATTTCGTTGTTGTTGTTCCTTAGTATAAAATACCTAGAGAAATATTACAAGGATTCTCTAAAAAGAAAGTACTTTCGTAAAGGCTTTATCCACGACCAACTGCCTATCTTTAGGTCCAAGTTCTATTTATCTAGTTGAACAACCACAGTTACAAAGTACCAAAGTTCTGGAAAACATATTCACAAGACCGAGGAGAGGCAAAGGCAAGATATTTATGCCTCTGTATACCTTGATGTTGCCTATTTCCTTTCCTATAATTCTTACCTGGCTTCTTTCTTCATGTCTATATATCACCTTTAAAGTTCAGCTTACTTCCTAGCTCCTAAAGAAGGTTTCCTAGCCTGTCCCAAGTCATATTTATTTCTCACTTACATGCAATATTACTGAATATTCTGCCCTTACGGCTACTTGGAGGCTCAGAATATGTCACTGTGTACTAAAAAGTTAACTACGGGCTTGCTATTTGGAATACATTTACTCCCAAAGCTGGGCTCTACTCTTAAGGGTCAATCACACGGCCCACCACACACAAAACGTACGAGGCTTGGATATAAACCTAAGAAAACATGCATCATCTCGCGAGTCCAGGTCAATCACGGACAGCTTCCCCAGGAGATCCGTGGCCCTTTTTTAGGCCTTTCTATCTTGAAAGAGCAGCCATGCAGATACACTAACCCCACCACTGGTACTTAAGCTTGTAAACGCCAGCAAGGAAAAAAAAACCAACAACATAAAACATGGGACGCGCAACTTTAGTGTAAACGCAAGAACCAGTCAGAAATAATCGCAAGCTAGGCCCCATACTTACGCGGGACGCCAGCCAAATCCGCGTGCGAGTAACCTGCTTCGCCGGCTCCGAAAAAGCCGGCCAATACCCCTGTGGTTTTGTCGCCGCTTCCCCCGCCTCCTTCCATGGTATCGCAGCAAACCGAGTGGTTCCCGCCGCTGCCTCAAGCCTGGGTGGTCCGCTGGGCCGTTACTCCTCAATAACAGCGGGTAACCCCGCGTTGCCAGCGCCTACTTCACACGCTGACATTCCGGGCGCCGGTTCCCGTTAAGCGCCACACTTCCGCTTTGCGGCAGTGTGCGCCCCGGAAGCCGGAAGCGCCTGACGGCAGCTTTCCGGTGGTGGGAAAGTGAACGAATCCCGAATCAAAGCGGCGCATTGAGGCAGGTGGGGTGCCAGTGGAAGAGGGAAGGCAGGCGAGTGTTTACGGCCTGACTTGGGAGGCCGGCGGATCAGCAATTGCAGAAGCAGGCAGCGGCAGAGAGGGAATGGTGCAGGCAGGCGCTGAGAAGGAGGCGCAGTCCATCTCTCTCAGGGTTAGTGAATGAGGCTCTCCGCCCGGGCCGGCCCGGGGACAGTGCGCTGCTGGTCCCAGCATGAATGCGGGCCCCGGCTGTGAACCCTGCACCAAGCGACCCCGCTGGGGCGCCGCTACAACTTCGCCGGCTGCTTCGGACGCCCGGAGCTTTCCCAGCAGGCAGAGGCGCGTCCTCGACCCCAAGGACGCTCACGTGCAGTTCAGGGTCCCACCGTCCTCGCCAGCCTGCGTCCCAGGGCGGGCGGGACAGCACAGAGGCAGCGCCACCTCGCTTGGTACGTGGGAAAATAAAAATCTTTGTCCTTCGCCTCGGCCCGAACCTTCTGGTCTCAGTCTGAGGACCCAGGGGCTCCAGTCACTCCTTTCTGGTCTTGTGTGCATCGTCACTCTTGAGGTCCACTTGCTGAGCTACCAAAGCCACTAGTGGGTGAATGGGGCCGCATTTTTCCCAGTGCGATTGATGTGAGAAACTCTGATGAGCAGTCACTCACAGGGCGGAAAATGGCAGGAGACTCCACCACCTGTTTGCTTCTTCAGGTTTGATTGAGAAATTGCCTTAGTCGTCAAGGAGATCTAATTGTGTATGTAAAACAGTAGGGCGCTTCAGCCTCTAGATAGGAAGAAAACAACTTCACTTGTTCAGATTCTGGGTCCCAGGGTGCAGAGCTATTAGTTTAAGCTGGCATTGTACCCGTCCCTGGTATACAGTGTTGAACGAGAGAAACTTGGCCTCTGCCTTCATACCTTAAAATCTATCTGGAGAGATAGACGATAGCAAAAGTTAATATAATAAAAGGTAATGGATGTTCTGATAGATGAATGACAGATTGTTTTACCTAACTGAATTTATGGAATCGAAAATAGTCCTCCAGAAGATGAGATGCTTATTCTGAGGACTGTAGAATGAGTAGGAGTTAGATGAAGAGGAAGTAAGAAGTGTTTCAGGAGTGCAACCGAGGCCGGGCGCGGTGGTTTTGCCTGTAATCCCTGAGCTTTGGGAGGCTGGGGCGGGTGGATCACCTGAGGTCAGGAGCTCAAGACCAGCCTTACCAATATGGTGAAACCCCGTCTCTGCTAAAAATACAAAAAATTAGCCTAGCGTGGTGGCGGGCAACTGTAATCCCAGCTACTCGGGAGGCTGAGGCAGGTGAGGCAGGAGAATCGCTGGCATCCGGGAGGCGGAGGTTGCAGTGAGCCGAGAGGGCACCATTGCACTCCAGCCTGGGCAACAAGAGCGAAACTCCGCCTCAAACAAAACAAAACAAAACAAAACAAAAACAGGAGTGCAATTGATATATAGAGTGAACGCAAGAGAGTGTGAGAGATGAGGCTGCAGGGTGGTACAGAAAAGTCAGATCAAATTGGATATGTAGACATTGCTAAGGATTTTGAACTCTAAGGGCATTGATAAGCTACTCAAGGGTTTTTAGTAGGGGAGTGACTTGATTAGACTTATTTATTTGTTGAAAAGTCTGTGTGGCTGGTGTGTGGAAAATAAAGAATGGATTGAAAAGGAACTCAAGTGGAGCATCAAGACTCAGTTAAGGAGTTAATCTAGGTTGGAAATAATTGTAGCTTAGGCCTGGATGCTGGCAATAGGGAAGGGGATGGATTCATGAAAGAATGGGATACTTGAGAAGAAATATTTCTGTGCTGGAGAAGTAGATTGGGGAGTTCGTGGCATAAACATTATAATGGATGCTATGGGCATAGATAACATAAACATGTAGAGAAAGTAAAGGTGACCTAGGGCAGATGCCTTAGGAACACCAAAGTTTAAGAGTAGACTGAAGAGAAGCGGCTGTAGAGGTGGGAGGAAAGCCTGGCTTGTGTTGTGTCAGACAAAGGAGATCATTTCAAAAAGGATGCATTCGTTAACAGTGTAAGAGGCTGGGCAGAGCTCGGGCAGTTCTCTGGTGAAGAGTCTACACTTAGATGTCTTCATACTTAGGGGCAGTACCAAGTAGACTTGCACTAGGCCTTGAAGGATGAGGAAGATTTGCTGTATAAATCAAGAGGAGAAAGAATTATACATGCAGAGGAAATAAGACATGCAAAAGTTGGTAAGACTGGAGCATAAGATGACAGAGGAGTGTCTGATGAGGCTGGGTGGCAGACAGGAGCTTATGAAGAAACTCAAATTCCATTTTAAGGAATTTCAACCTTATTCTGTGGTTAATGGAGAAACCACTAAAAAGCTTTTAAGCGTGGGAATACCATTTGGTTAATATTTTAGAAAAGTGGCTTTTGGACTTTTCTAACTGCAACCCACAGCATAAATTTTATCCAGTACACAGAGTAAGAAATATATGTAACCTGGCAAATAAGCCATATTTATAACTGAAATAAATGTTTCATGAAATAATACTTAACCTTACTATGTGTGATGCATTCTTATATTGTCTGTGTTATTTCATTGAAAAATGACTGGTCATTTGTAGTTTGTAGAACACTGGATAGTCAAGGCTGTAGACAGGGAGACTAGTTGCAAGAAACAAATGGCAGTTGTCTAGTAAGCGATGTGTTTAAAGGGTATGAGGAAGGGATGGATTTAAAATTTAGGATGTAGATTTCAGAGAACTTGGTATAGGGGAGAGAGAACTGAAGGTGAACTTCAGGTATACGTTCAGGTGTACTTCAGCTTCTGTGACTGGATAATTTGTGGTTTCATTAACCTTATTTGCATGTAAAGGAGGAGGAGTTAGTTGCAAATAGGGGTGAGGGCAGTCAGTCCTCACTGGTTGGATCTTAATTAAGATTTCTGCAGAAGAGGTACCAAATGAATACTTGGGGCTGTATTTCGCATGTTTAAATGTTTTCTGTATACCTGGCACAGGACACCAATTAACAGAATGTTCGAAGACTATATTTGTATCAAAAGCCCATTGTTTGAATTTTTGGGATTCCTTTAGGAACTTGGTATTTAAATTTTTATATATAATTATCTTAGGACAAGTAGGCGGGGTAGCGAAATGGATATTTATTCAGTATCTTTAAATTTTATATTCTTTATCTTCCTGGATATATTTCTTGTATTGACTGAAATCGCTAATTTTGCTGGGCATGCACCTGTAGTCCCAGCTACTTGGGAGGCTAAGGCAAGAGGATCACTTGAGCCCGGGAGTTCCCGTCCAGCCTGAGCAACATAGCGAGACCCCACTTCTGAAAAAAGAAAAAAAAAATCTGCAAACCTGCATATTGGCAGAACTCAGCATGTTATTCACATTGTGATGACGCAGGTTTATCCAGATGTGTTGCTATAGACTTTTTGTGAAAGTGGAATGTTCCTTTGACATGCAGGTGAATTTTATTGCGTTTTGTGCCTTTTGGCTGTATCTATAGCTATTAATTGAATGACTTGCTGATTAAAATATACTGGGTACTGAATAATGTTGCTGATGAGAGTAAATGTAAATGGTGTGAAGTCAAAGTTGGAGAATTACTGATCTCAGTGGAAAAAAAAAAGACTGGGTGGAAATGTCGGGAGATAACATATTGAGTGCTTTGTGAGGCTGAACACAATATTTTCTCTAATTTTTGCTTTGTAATTGATCCACATAACCCTTAGAAGTAGGTGTTGTTAGCTTCATTTTCTGGGTGAGGAAATAAAGGCTTAACGAAGTGAAGCAACTGGACCAAGGTGGTACTAGTAAGTGACTGAACAAAGATCTCAATCCAAGACTATCTGACTCTAGATCTTGTATCTTTTCATCACTTCTTATTGCCACTCTTTTTGCCTTGCTGTGACTATTTCTAGTTAAAATTCCTAGGAAACCTGGAAAGCATAATTTTATGCTTACTTCAGGAGTAAGAGGGATAAAGCTCTGACACAGTCCTGTGGTGTGCTGGGAAGGAAACCTTAGGAAGCCAGAAACAGTGATATTGCAAAGAGCAGTAAGCAGTCCTTTCTCTGAGGCCCTAAGAAGGACTGATCAATGTTTTATTAGCAGAAGATACTGGTTCCTTATCTCTTGCTTTTCCTCCTTCATCCCTTCCCCAGGCTTCAGGAAGCCTGAAACTAGAGAGAGAACACATTCTCAGGGTCAGGGCTACAGGAGAGAGCTCTCTTCTTCTTTGCCATCACTGGAACACTCCTGGTTTTTCATGAAATGATGTGTGCAGTCTTTAGGTTCTGTAGACTTATCACAGGAGTACGTGCTTCGTGTGTGTTATAGGAACCTAGTCATTGCATCTTAACATTAATCCTTACATTTATGGAAAAAAGATGTTTTAACTTCTAAACCAACTCAAAAAATGAATGTTTTGGCATATTACTGGTTTGTAATTTGAGGATTTTTTTTTTTTTTTGAGACAGAGTCTCACACTGTCGCCCAGGCTGGAGTGCAGTGGCGCGATCTCCGCTCACTGCAAGCTCCACCTCCCGGGTTCACGCCATTCTCCTGCCTCAGCCTCCCGAGTAGCTGGGACTACAGGCGCCCGCCACCACGTCTGGCTAATTTTTTGTATCTTTAGTAGAGACGGGGTTTCACCATGTTAGCCAGGATGGTCTCAATCTCCTGACCTTGTGATCCGCCTGCCTCGTCCTCCCAAAGTGTTGGGATTACAGGCATAAGCCACTGCGCCCGGCCCAATTTGAGGATTTTCTAAACTATACTTGCTGTATTTGATATAAAGAAAATAAATAGAGAATACAGAACTATAGAAAAAGTTTCAGAATCAAATGGTTTATCCTCTTACTCCCTCTGACTGAAGCTCATTTTTTCTCTGAAGCCTGATCTGCTGCAGAAAGCTAAATAAAATCGTGGAAGTAATGGTGTTTAACAATAAGAAATCACTATGCGTGATTACTTTTTTGTGATAGAAACTATTAAACTATTTTTGAAACATTAATCAAAGATTTTTACTAGCTGGATTATAAGTATTTTGTGGAAGGTAAAGATTATATAGCAATTGAATATTTTTCTGGTATAAAATTCTCCCCATCTGAAATGTATTTCGATTATGCCATTATTTCAATGAAAAATAAACCATTGATTTTTGTATATTTGAGCCTGCATCTGTTTTGCTCCATATGGTGTTTTAGGAGAGGTAGGTAAATAAGAAAGATCCTGTGACTTAGGATGCTAAGATTCTTACATTGCAATTTAGTGAGTATCTCAAATCTTAAACATTTGCGAATGTTTAAGATTTTATTTCTGATACTAAAATATGATGTACATTTAATCCCTATTCAGTATATTAAATTTTGACAGCACACTTATTTCTAATGATTATATAAAATGTGGCTTGTATTTATTTATATTGCATCTCCCTCTCCTGAGCTATCAATTCTACTTTTGCTACTGTCTGCTGATGTGTTAGGAAGGAAACCTTAGGAAGCCAGAAGTAGTGATATGGTTTTCTATCTAGTTACTTCTTTGGCATCTCAAATTTAGTATAGGCAGAATCGACCTAATCGTATTTCTTCCCTAAACACAATTCTCTTGTATTCCATATTTCTACTTAAGGCTGTCATCATTTTTCAAGTCTCTCAAGCTCAAAGCTTAAAGTCACTTTTAACTTCCCCTATTATTGTGAAGTCTGTAATGACTCTCCTCACTTTTACTACTCTCACAAGGACTAGTTTATGTTCTTGGCCAGTAACTGTTCAATCTAGTGGATCATCAGAATCACTTTTGGAAAAAAAAAAATAGATTCCAGCTCCCCTCATGCCTTCATCCTACTCACATATAGATTCTGATTCAGAAGGACTGGGGTGTGGCTGGCTTCCTGATGATCCAGATAGTTTGGGAACCACTGACCTGGACTAGTAGCTTCCTCCCTAGTTTCTGGCAATAAGCTCTTCCCTCTTGCCCCTCAGATTTATCCTCCAGGCTGTCATGCATGACTGTGAGCCTCCTAGATGAGAGGAATCATGTCTTTCAACACATTTTTTGTGCTTCTCTTTGTGGGTCATTCAAGATCCTATTGTATGGTATGATCCTGGCTGACTTTTCAACCATATTTTCTTTTGCTTTCTTTTTAAGTTCTTTATATTTCCCTGATATTGGTGCCTTTGCTTATAATTTTCTCTTTATGTGACTGCATGTTTACTTTTCAAGGCATAAGTCAAGCCTTACCTTTTCCGAAGAAATCTTACCGATTATGCCCATGTTCTCCTGTTCACTGAAGTAGTGTCTTCCTCAGAAATAACCTTAATTCCTTTATCAGGACCTCTTTTAATAATCATGATAATTAAGAATCAACATTTACTAAGCGTAAACCAGATAATGCCCTAAATGCTTTACATGAACTATTTTTACTTAATTAAGCCTTATCTCATGAGATAGTTATTTTGCATGTTTACAAATGAGGGATCTGAGATACAGAGAAATGACCCCTCACAGAGTAACATAGGAAGCTAATGGGAGAATCAGGATTTGAATACAGATGTTCTGATTCCATAGCCTATGCTCTTATCCATTAGGCCATACCAACTCTTTTAGGCACCAGTCATTTTCTACCCTGTGTCATATGTATTAACATTTATGTTCCTGTCTTACCCATATACTTGAGGGCAAATACTTGAGTTATTAATCTTTTGTTTAACCTGTAGAACCTAGCATAGTTCCTTGCATGTACAATATGCTGTATATGTTTTATATTTGAAGGAATGTATGAATATACATTTTTTTTTATAGTTTTCAAACAAAAGACTATTACCAGTTGGATGGACACTAAAGGAATCAAGACAGCGGAATCAGAAAGGTATAGAAACATTCCTATGTAGAGAAATGAATAATAATACATGGATGTTTTATCTTGTTGCTTTAATATTTTCTCTCTTTGTTCATGCTTTTCTGTTCTCCTTTATCTATGTTAATTCAAAATCAACTTATAAGTAATTTTTTAGAGAGTCCTGTATGCCAGGGACTGTCCTGTATACTTGAGATACCAAGATGAGAGAGGAATAGTCTGTGTCTTTTTTTTTTTTTGAGATGGAGTCTCACTCTGTTGCCCAGGCTGGAGTGTAGTGGCGTGATCTCGGCTAACTGCAAGCTCTGCCTCCTGGGTTCACGCCATTCTCCTGCCTCAGCCTCCCAAGTAGCTGGGACTACAGGCGCCCACCACCACGCCTGGCTAATTTTTTGTATTTTTAGTAGAGATGGGGTTTCACCGGGTTAGCCAGGATGGTCTTGATCTCCTGACCTCGTGATCTGCCTGCCTCGACCTCCCAAAGTGCTGGGATTACAGGTGTGAGCCACTGCGCCCGGCCAGTCTGTGTCTTTAAGATACTTACAGTGTAGCAGTGGCCACAGACACAAAAACACATAATTACTGCCTGGTGTGATAGATGCAATAGTAAAGGTATGAGCAAGGCACAGTGGTGGTTAGTGTGTAGAAGAAACAAATGTTCAACTTTACCTTTGGTCCCTAAAGGAAGACTGCACAGAGAGGTGAGTGACATTTATGACTTGAAGGAAAGGCGGGTGTTTGCCAGACACACAGCTGCAGGGAGGGCATTAGGGATCACATACAAAGACATGGAGTCATAGAAGACATGCTGTGTGCTCAGCTGACCACAGGGAGTTTAATTACTGCTGTGACACTGGGGGTATGATTGGATAAGTGACTTTTTTGTATTATAAGTTGTTTTTAGTTCTTTCTGTTCTCTTGTAGTTTGGATAGTAAAGAAAACAACAATACAAGAATAGAATCCATGATGAGTTCTGTACAAAAAGATAACTTTTACCAACATAATGTAGAAAAATTAGAAAATGTTTCTCAGCTAAGTCTTGATAAGTCACCCACTGAAAAAAGTACACAGTATTTGAACCAGCATCAGACTGCAGCAATGTGTAAGTGGCAAAATGAAGGGAAACACACGGAGCAGCTTTTGGAAAGTGAACCTCAAACAGTAACCCTGGTACCAGAGCAGTTTAGTAATGCTAACATTGATCGGTCACCTCAAAATGATGATCACAGTGACACAGATAGTGAAGAGAATAGAGACAATCAACAGTTTCTCACAACTGTAAAGCTTGCAAATGCAAAGCAGACTACAGAAGATGAACAGGCCAGAGAAGCCAAAAGCCACCAGAAGTGCAGCAAGTCTTGCGATCCTGGGGAAGACTGTGCAAGTTGTCAGCAAGATGAGATAGATGTGGTGCCAGAGAGTCCATTGTCAGATGTTGGCTCTGAGGATGTTGGTACTGGGCCAAAAAATGACAACAAATTGACTAGACAAGAAAGTTGCCTAGGAAATTCTCCTCCATTTGAGAAGGAAAGTGAACCCGAGTCACCGATGGATGTGGATAATTCTAAAAATAGTTGTCAAGACTCAGAAGCAGATGAGGAGACAAGTCCAGGTTTTGATGAACAAGAAGATGGTAGTTCCTCCCAAACAGCAAATAAACCTTCAAGGTTCCAAGCAAGAGACGCTGACATTGAATTTAGGAAACGGTACTCTACTAAGGGCGGTGAAGTTAGATTACATTTCCAATTTGAAGGAGGAGAGAGTCGCACTGGAATGAATGATTTAAATGCTAAACTACCTGGAAATATTTCTAGCCTGAATGTAGAATGCAGAAATTCTAAGCAACATGGAAAAAAGGATTCTAAAATCACAGATCATTTCATGAGACTGCCCAAAGCAGAGGACAGAAGGTAATTTTCTCTCAGCAGTATCTCTCCAATAGCATAATATGCTTTATAGTTTTGTAAGGGAGTTTAACGAAGCTGTGATTTCTAGTAAAGCAAAGAAATGGTTTTGTTTCTTGTTAACTACTTATGCTAAATTTAAACCTAGACTCCAAAGTTTAAACTCTAAAAAGGCTAGAAACAGAAAACAAGAAATAAAATAAATATTAGAAATCAGATTTTTAGTTTCATGAGTTTCCTTTTGGTATTTATGGGAATTGCTAGAACATGAAAATACTAGGTTGATAGTAGCTACTGTTTCTTCAGCCAGACATTCTTCTAGACCATTGTATATTACACTTTTTTTTTTTTTTTTACACTTTGTTTAATGCCGTGACAGGCAGACAGATGGTATTATACTCACTAAATGAGATAACTGAGATTTGGGTAAGAGAATTCACTGGAATCATGTACCTTCTGAGTGGTAATGCTGGGATTTAAATCCAGGTGTGTCATATTACAAAGCTTATATTTTGCCGTTACCCCATATGGAATCTTAAATCCCATCCATGATTTCTGTGATTTGAGTTTCCTGAGATAGTGCAATCAGCATGCAATAGTGAGTTCACTTCATTGAAAATTACTGTGTAGATGATACTGTGAACCATGACTCATTTCTGTTTTGAGAAGGTGATTTACATGTGTTTGGAACTTTCTTCCACAGACTGTTGAAAATAAGCTCTTGAGTTTTATAAGCTTTATAGGTTTTTCTTTTGATTGTAAATATAATACATAACGAAGTGAGTGACCAAGTATGGCATACTTTAAACAATAACGTCTGGGTAAGTTTTGTGCTTGTGTATCTAAGGGAATTAAAACAGTAAATAATTTGTGACTAAATACATTTGTCTTGACCTTAGAAAAGAACAGTGGGAAACCAAACATCAAAGAACAGAAAGGAAGATCCCTAAATACGTTCCACCTCACCTTTCTCCAGATAAGAAGTGGCTTGGAACTCCCATTGAGGAGATGAGAAGAATGCCTCGGTGTGGGATCCGGCTGCCTCTCTTGAGACCATCTGCCAATCACACAGTAACTATTCGGGTAGGTAGCACCTCTTATCTATGATGAGAGAAGACTGGAAGTCCTTATTTATTGTGATATTTATTAAGTGAGAAACAGACCAAGGCTTAGAAAGTTCTTCTGTTTTCTGCATATATAAAATACTGAGAATTCTACAGAATGGAGCAATATAATGATAACTTACTTAGTATAGAACTTAACAAATTAGCAATCATTAGCAATCATTATCAGCTGATGGTGAAGATAATTTTTTTTTTCCAGTATTTTTAAGAAACCTCATTGGATTCTTTTTTTTTCTTTTTACTCAGTTGATAGTATTGTGTACTGACTGCAGAATCCTGCATTCGTCCCTAAATTTCAAAATTACGTATGGTTTAGTGTCCTTAAATCATTATCCAGCTGTGCCTTTTTTTTTTTTTTTTTTTTTGCTGGAGACCAGAGTTTTCTTATTACTCAAATCAGTCTCCTCGAGCATTCGGGGATCAGAGTTTTTAAGGATAATTTGGTGGGTTGGGGAAGGCCAGTGAGTCGAGAGTGCTGATTGGTTGGGTCAGAAGAAGAAATAATGGGAAGCTGAAGCTGTCCTCTTGTGCTGAGTCAGTTCCTGGGTGGGGACAAGATCAGATGAGCCAGTTTATCCATCTGGGTGGTGCCAGCTGATCCATCAAGTGCAGGGTCTGCAAAATATCCCAAGCACTGATCTTAGCAGTTTAGGGCGGGTCAGAATCTTGTAGCCTCCAGCTGCATGACTCCTAAACCATAATTTCTAATCTTGTGGCTATTTTGTTAGTCCTACGGTGGCAGTCTAGTCCCCAGGCAAGAAGGGGGTTTCTTTTGGGAAAGGGCTGTTACCATGTTTGTTTTAACATTATATTATAACATTATAACAACATTGTAACAAAACATAACAAAAGACTAACATTATAACATTATAACAAAAGACTATAACGAGGGCTATGGGAGTTACAAGCCAAGAACCTGGACAAAAACCAATGTGAATATCATAACACTATACTAACAGAAACTGTACATATTAAACATATTAAATAATTAAACCTCCTTCCCTGCTTCCCCTAGTTCTTAGTAACCTCTTTTGTACTTTTTGTGTGTTCTTGCTTTTAAAAAACAACTTCATTGAGGTATATAAAAATTCACCCATTTTAAGTGCTCGATTTGGTGATATTGAGTCCATTTTTTGAGCTATGTGACCATCACCATAATCCAGTTTTAGATTTCCATCACTTGCTGGGTAGTTTTAAACATTCATCTCATTTATTAGTCAGGTTTTATATAGATTTCACACGCAGTACTAAAAAAAATTGACATGATCCCTTTTAACATACAATTTAGTGTAGATGTGATTAACTATTTTGAAATTCAGAATTCTTTAGCATATTTAGAGGTGAGAGTAACATTGAGCAGAGTTATGGGGTTTGAGCTGAGCTCTAAAAGATAAGCATAAATTTCTGAGGTGCAGTTAGTAAGATAGGAGACTTCCAGACAGATATATAAGATTTATAAGAAAAGGCTGTGTGGTTGAAAACTATCTGTTTTAGAAATGGAAAACAGTGCCTTTGCTGGAGTGTGGAATTTGGGTGGGGAATGAGGAAGAGACTTGAAAATTGGATTGGGTTCATATCACAGGGGGCTTCAAGTGCCAGGAACCAGACTTAAGTCATGTCTGTGCAGACAGTATCTGTGCTGTAGCAAGATTAATCAGACAGCTGCATGTAAGGAAAACAGAAGTGAGGATACACTGGGAGACAGGAGAGGTAATGTAAGAGCCCAGATAAGAGTTAAGTAAGGTAACAGTATGTACCGAATTGTGCCACATAGAGGTGCTTCAGGGGTTCTTTTGAAGTTTGATGCAAATTTCATTTCTAAATTATATTTTTAACAGTGAAAAACTTGTTAAAAAAGAACTGCACAATCAAATTTGAAGATGCTTAATTCCACATTTGAACCAGCTGTTTTTGCCAAGATAACCCATTTTTGTGCAGACCACAGAGCCAAGGTTCCCTTGCTACCATTCATCTGAAGAGTTAGCTTAATATCAAAATAAAGTTTGTAAAATGTTACCATTTGCAACTGTATAGATGGATGAATCAGGATTTTCTTAATAATGTGTAAGAGAGATAAATGTAAACTAAATGGTAGATTGATGTAAGCTTTAACTCTCATCCCTAACTCCTACTTTCAAATTTTGTATTTAAAACTGTCTCATCATCACTTATTGATATTAGAGTAAGTAAAAGTTACTATAAAAACTGTATTTCTTTTTTTTTTTTTTTTTTGATGGAGTTTTTTGCTCTTGCTGCCCAGGCTGGAGTGCAACAGCACGATCTCGGCTCATGGCAACTTCCACCTCCCGGGTTCAAGCAATTCTCCTGCCTCAGCCTCCCAAGTAGCTGGGATTACAGGCATGCACCACCACGCCTGGCTAATTTTGTATTTTAGTAGAGACGGGGTTTCTCCATGTTGGTCAGGCTGATCTCAAACTCCCGACCTCAGGTGATCTGCCCACCTCGTCCTTCCAAAGTGCTGGGATTACAGGCGTGAGCCACCGCGCCCAGCCAAAAACTGTATTTCTAAAAATAGCTTTGGTGTGACTTTAAATGACTTTATGTCAAATTTCTTAGGGAAAAAAGGGATTCTGCTATTTTAAAAAGCTTGAAAATCACTGAGATAATAATCATGGGGATAAAAAAGAAAATAGAAGGTTGCATTATTATGAGGTAAAATTGATAGAATATGGTGAATTCCTAAATATGGGTGACAAATAAAAAGGAGTTGTTGATAATGCATGTAAAATTAAGGTTCTTAGTCTGGATTACTGAGATGATGTTAATGGTGAGGAACTGGAGAAAAGATGGACAGAGGGTGTTAAGTGATATTTTAGCTTTTTCTCTTCCTCCTCTCTCCCACCCTCCCACAAAGAAAACCCAAACCATCCTGTACCGTCATTATATCTCTCTAATATCTACCATCTCTACCATCAAATAATCTCTATAGTTAATGTTTCTTTCTTAGATACCCAGGACCCTTGAGTTTTTAAAATCTTCTATTTTATTACAACAGCAATGCAAGACTATTGTAAAAAATACACAACTATTATATGAAAGCATGTAACTCAGAAAACCCGTCTGTCAGTCTTATTCCCAGAGTTTAACAGTTTGTTGTATTTTCTTCTAGATTCTTATTCCTGAATATGATAATAAGATATAAATGTAATTAACAGTTACTTAATAGCAGTGTTTAGTTACATTATTAAGATTCCAGATGTTAATAGTTACAGATTTTGAAATAGTAAAATGAAAGTTGGGCATGATAGCTCACACCTGTAATCCCAGCACTTTAGGACGCCAAGGCAGGAGGATTACTTGAGGACAGGAGTTCAAGACTAGCCTGGGCAACATAGGCAGAGCCCATCTGTACAAAAAGTTAAAAAATTAGCCAGGCATGGTGGCACATGCCTGTAGTCCTAGCTACTTATGAGGCTAAGGCAGAAGGATTACTTGAGCCCTGCAGTTTAGCCTGGATGACAGAGTAAGACCCTGTTTCTTAAAAATAAAACCAACATTTAGCTTTAGAAATGTAAGGCAATCTGAAATTGCACTTAGTGGTCGATTTCCAACAAACACATGCATACGTGCGTGCATGCAAACACAGAGCCACACACAAAGCATATTACATGTATGTTCCCCTTTTGTGAAGCTCAACTGGTACCTATGCTGTTTTATCAGATGATATGGAACATCCTTATAAAATCACCTTTGGGACGTTCTTATGAGGGTGAAAATACTTTCAGCATAACTGCTGATTCTGTCACATCTGACTTTTTTTTTTTTTCGAGATGGAGTCTTGCTCTGTCACCCAGACTGGAGTGCAGTGGTGTGATCTCGGCTCACTGCAACCTCTGCCTCCCGGGTTCAAGCGATCCTCCTACCTCACCCTCCCAAGTAGCTGGGACTACAGGTGCATACCACCAACCTTGGCTGATGTTTGTATTTTTAATAGAGACGGGGTTTCGCCATGTTGGCTAGGCTACTCTTAAACTCCTGACCTCAGGTGATCACCCGCCTGGGCCCCCCAATGTGCTGGGATTACAGGTGGGAGCCACTGTTCCTGGCCTTCTTCTTTTTTTTTTTTTTTTTAAAGAGACAGGATCTCACTCCGTCACCCAGGCTGGATTGCAGTAGCAGTGGTGTGTGATCTTGGCTCACTGCAGCCTCCAACTCTTAGGTTCAAGCAATCCTCCCACCTCAGCCTCCTGAGTAGCTGGGGTTACAGGCATGTGCCACTACATGTGGCTAATTTTCTAAATTTGTAGCTATGTTGGCCCAGGCTGATTTTGAACTCCAGGCCTCAAGTGATCCTCCAGCCTCAACCTCCCAAAGTGTTGAGATTGCAGGCGTGAGCAACTGTGCCTGGCCACATTTGACTCCATAGACATTTCTTTTCTCCTTGGAATATACTCATCCTTTGGCTCCGTGACACAATATAATCCTAAATTTCTTTCTTCCTCCTTAGCCAATTCTTATTTTCCTTTTAGGCTGTTCTTCTGTATGTGACAAGTAAGTGTTGTTGGAGTTCCTCAAGCCTTTTTCATAGGTCCTTTTTTCTTCTGTCTCTCTCTGGTTGGTCTCACCCACCCTTGTGGTTTTAGTGATCACCTATATAGATGACTCACAGGTTTATTTTTCTTTCTTTCTTTCTTTCTTTCTTTCTTTCTTTCTTTCTTTCTTTCTTTCCTTCTTTCCTTCTTTCTTTCCTTCCTTCCTTCCTTCTTTCCTTCTTTCTTTCTTTCTTTCTTTCTTGACAGAGTCTTGCTCTGTCGCCAGGCTGGAGTGCAGTGGCGCAATCTCAGCTCACTGCAACCTCTGCCTCCCAGGTTCAAGCGATTCGCCTGCCTCAGCCTCCTAAGTAGCTGGGACTACCGACGCGCGGCACAATGCCTAACTAATTTTTGTATTTTTAGTAGAGATGAGGTTTCACCATGTTGGCCAGGATGGTCTTGATCTCTTAACCTTGTGATCCACCCTCCTCAACCTCCCAAAGTGCTGGGATTACAGGCGTGAGCCACCACCCCCGGCCCAGGTTTATTTTTCTTAAGTTGCGGTGTTACTAAACTGAACCTGAGTACACTCACCCAGTGCAGTAAAGCCAAACACCGACACTGACGTCTGTAGCAAGAGAAGTAGGGGTGTTTGTTTGCAGGGCACCAAGCAAGTAGAATAAGATAGCTATTGCTTAAAACCTGACCTCCCCAATGGCTTACAAGCAAGATTTTTTAAAGGCAGAGATATATTCTAGGAAAGCAGAAGTTATTGGCAAAATCATACATCAATACGTGGGGGTTATATATTGGTTTGGTCCCAAAAGGCAGGATATCTTGAAGTGGGGTTGCAGGATTCGGAGATTCTTTGATTTGCGATTGGTTAAGGAAGCAAGGCTTTGCCTAGAAACTTGGGATCAGCAGAAAGGAATGTTAAGGTTTGGCATGTGGGTGTCACTGTCTCCAGGCCCCTCAGGAAGAAATTTAGAATGAAGAACGTCAGTCAGAGTTCAGTCTTCAGTTCCCCCTTATGTGATGATGGTGGTTGGCACTTTCCATTTGGCGGGGGTCTGAGTTTCTGAAAAATAACTCAGGGACCTATGTCAAGATGTTATCTTTATTTTCTATAGGGAGCAACACATCTTGTGGCTCTGACTTCCATGAGTGGCTATTGGTTTAAGCTGTTATTACCTCCTTGCTTATCTGGTGGCTCATTTACTTCTCAAGGCTAGATAGGTGCCTGGAATTTCCCTTGAAGCTTTCAGATATGATGAGGTTTCTCTTCAAATAACCTGATCAGTCTTTTATTCTTTAATTCATAGTGCCCCCCTTCCTTTTTTCCTTTTTCTCCTTTCTTCCATTTTGCCTTTGTTAGATGCCCAGGCACGTCACAGTACCAAGCATTATCAATACCAGCTCACATTCCTTTCCTTATTTGGAAAGAGAACTAACTTTCTAGCTTATTACAGACATGCCTTCCCCTTTCCTCTCCGCTTTCTTTCACATGCCCACCTTATCTAAAAAAATCAAATGTTTAGCTAACCGGAATTAGTTTAGATTGTACGACCCGACCCCAGCCAATGGGGAAAGGGTACAGGGGCAGGACTTGCATCAGGAATAAAGGCTCTTGTGCCCCTTTGTTCAGGTGTGCTCTCATGGCGACTGGCCAAGGAGGCACTCCTCTGTGCAGAAGTAAAATTGCTTTGCTAAGAATCCTTTGTTCAAGTGTTCAATTTCCTTAGGATTTTGAGCATTATTCCTAACAAAGGGATTCGAGATTTTCTTTTATTTCCTTGCTTGAGGGCACTCCTGGCAGGCCCCTAAGAGGGCTCCCTGCTCTGTCTCAGTAGATGTTTTTACGAAGCTGCCTGTTTGACAGTCTTCTTTCCATAGTTCTTCCCTTTTTAAGGAATGTTGGTGAATAGAGTCAAACTCTGTAAAATATTTAAAGAAATTTATTCTGAGCCAAATATGAGTGACCAATGGCCTGTGACACCGCCCCAGGAGATCTGAGTACATGTGCCCAAGGTGGTCAGGCTATAGGTTGGTTTTATATGTATTAGAGAGGTATAAGACGTCAATCAATACATGTAAGATGCATATTGATTTGGTCCAGCAGGCAGGACAACTCGAAAGGGGCTTCCAGGTCATAGATTCTCTGCTTGGCAATTGGTTAAAAGGGTTATTATCTAAAGACCTGGAATCAATAGAAAGGGATGTCTGGGTTAAGAAGGGTTTCTAAAGACCAAGGTTTTATCATGCAGTTGATGCTTGTAGGTAACAGGCTTCAGAGCTCTTACCAGATGCTTCATTACTTCTCTCCTGGACTGGATCAGGGAAGACCTGGAAAGGGAAGGGGATTCTCTACAGCAGCAGTCCCCAACTTTTTGGCACCGGGGACCAGTTTTATGGAAGACCATTTTTCCATGGGTTGGGGGATGGTTTCAGAATGAAACTGTTCCACCTCAGATCATCAGGCATTTGTTAGATTCTCATAAGGAGTGTGCAACTTAGATCCCTCCCATGCACAGTTCATAATAGGGTTCTTCGTCTTATGAGAATCTGATGTTGCCACTGACCTGACAGAAGGCAGAGCTCAGCCTTGCTCACCTCCTGCTATGCAGCCTGGTTCCTAACAGGCCATAGACCCCTAGTCCATGCCTGTCTGGATTCCGGGGGGTTGGGGACCCTTGCTCTACACAATGTAGATTTTACCCACAAGACACAGTTTAGCAGGGCCATTTCAAAATATTTCAAATAAATACATTTTGGGGTAAAATACTTCCGTTTCTTTCAGAGCTTGGTATCTGTCATGTTGGTATCTTAATTGCTATAAAGAGTCTGCCTTGTCAGTCTTAAAGTACCTGTTTTAATGTTAATGCTGGTCAGTCACATCTAAATTTCAAAGGGAGGAAGGTATAATGAAGCATGTCCAACCACCCGTTCCCATCATGGCCTGAACTAGTGTATGGGGTTTGCTTTAGAATGCCCTTGGCTGAGGGAGGGGCCCATTCAGTTGGTTGCGGGGCTTAGAATTTTATTTTTGTTTCACCCTTTTCCTTGTTAATTTTTTAGCCTTTAGAGTTAAGCTCAGTTGCCACTTCCTCAAGGAAGCCTTACCTAAGTTTACCAGATAAACTAAATCTGAGCTGGTCTCATAACACAGTGTTCCTCGTATTCATAACATATTACAAGTGAAATTATATATTTATGTGATTATGCTCTGCAGTGAAGTACTCATACATACTACCACATGGATTAATCTTGAAAACATTATGCTAAGTGAAAAAGGCCAGACACAAAAGGCCACATATTATATGATTTCTTTTATATGAAATATCCAGAATAGGCATAATGTTAAACTTTAAACCATAATCTCTTTCTCTTACCAGTGGCAAATCTATATGGGTCTGCAGCAATGTTAATACTCCTCCTTAGAAGAAAGGATTTGATTGAGAGGCATAAGGCAGAATGAGAGACCAAGGCAAGTTTTAGAGCAGGAGTGAAAGTTCATTAAAAAGCTTTAGAGCAGGAATGAAAGGAAGTAAAGTACACTTGGAAGAGGGCCAAGCGGGCGACTTGAGAGATCAAGTACACAGTTTGACCTTTGACTTGAGGTTTTATATGTTGGCATGCTTCCAGGGGGTTGTGTCCCCTTCTCCCCTGATTCTTCCCTTGAGATGGGCTGTCTGCATGCGCGGTGTGATTACTGGAGTTGTACATATGCTTGCTTGAGGTATTCTTCCCTTACCAGTTGAGTGTTCTTATAAGGTCATATACCAGTTAAACTTTGCCATTTTGCTCCCTAGTACACATGCTGGAGCTGACTTGCCCAACTCCTAAGATCTTAACAGGAAGCTGCTGATCACCAATTTCAGATTTTTCTATCTATTGGGTGACTCCTTTCCCTGGCGCCGGCTGCTTCCAATTATTTTACAGAGGCAGTTTCACAACTCCCTGTGCATCACTTGAGGGTTGTCTGACATTCCTGGTAGTGGTAGGGGCCCTGTCCTGCCCTGCTCATGTCTGACTGGCTACCTACTGTACCACTTCCTCAAACATTTACTTAATAGTTATTATAGTAGCATATGTGTGTATATATATATTTGCATGTGTACACGTACACATGTACACATACCAGGTTCTATCTTACATATTCAGAATACAAAGTTAATATGGTTATTTTCAGGAAGTTTGGGATCTAGTGAGGGAGAGGAAGACAAGTGTGCTCTAGCATGATAATAATCTAACAAAACAAGATAAATAGCTGACTACTTTGAAGTTTCTAAAGACTTCATAAAGATAATGAAAATCTGGCAGAGCTATGAAGGTGACAATAGAGATTTAACCAGATACAGTGGGGGAGGTGGCAATTGGTAGTAGTGGTATTAAAAAGAGAGGCCACAGTAGTATGTATACAGGCATATAAATATGAAAATGAATTTGCTATGTTTAAGGAATTTTAAGTGTTGTTTAAGATTTGTTTGGAATGAATGGTGTTTTGATAAGAACGTATATGAAAATCAGGATGACACTTAGAATCAGAGTATAGGCGTTATAGCATTAGAAGCCTGGGAGTTCTTTAGAAAGGGTTTTATGGGGGCTAGATGTGTCTAGCAACAGCTGGAGTTAGGGAGAAGGATAGGAAACACTTAGTAAAAGCTGAGGCAAGGAAGGATTCCTAGGGGATATGGAGCTAGAATATATACTATATCTGGTGACTTGGACCTGGTTGAATGGAGGTGAGGAATGGGAAGAACTGAAGGGTTCTTTGGTGATTTCTTGCCTGGGAGCTGGTCTCTATTTTATAGCATTTGCTTTGGTTACTTAGGATTATTTTATAGAAGATACATTTTGTTTTTATGCACTGACAATTTTGTTTACCCTCAATTTCAGGTAGATCTTTTGCGAGCAGGAGAAGTTCCTAAACCTTTTCCAACACATTATAAAGATTTGTGGGATAACAAGCATGTTAAAATGCCTTGTTCAGAACAAAATTTGTACCCAGTGGAAGATGAGGTAAGAACAAAACCGAGATTCTTTTAGTCTCTGAAAAATGGTTTGGTACTTGCTTGTTTGACCTTTGATTCTGTGATGCAAAACAACTTAGAATAGCTTCCTCATATGTTTTTCTTTTTTCCAAAAGAATGGTGAGCGAACTGCGGGGAGCCGGTGGGAGCTCATTCAGACTGCACTTCTCAACAAATTTACACGACCCCAAAACTTGAAGGTATGTTGTTTTTACCATGCTTGCCTGTTTATGGGCCCTGTGTCTCCTCTTTCAAAGACTTTTTGGTCTTAATAGACTCAGGTAGCAACATTGTTTAGATGCAAAATGCTTGCTTCCTGGCACTAAGGAAGGCCCCTTAGAGACATTCTACTAGGAAATGAGAAGAACTGAGAGTTGCAAATGCCTTGCCTGGAGCCACACAGAATAATTTGGAGAACCAGGAATAATACCTCTGTTTCTTGATTCCCCATCCAATTTCCTTCAGTGCAAGCTTCTCTTTCTTTTTTTTGTTTTAAAATTATCATGTTTCTGAAATATCTTTAAAAGTAAATCAGGAAAGAATTATGACTTCAGCAATATTTGCCCAAAGGGAAGCTGAGTTTCCCAATGATTAAAGTATATGTTAAGCATTCTGGTTTTTATTGCCCTTAATATAGCTCCTAGCAGTTTAATAATTTATTAATCTTATATTTTGGCAATAATTTATTTTTGATATATTTATATTTCATTTATGACTGCAAGGGTAACTAGTAGATTGTTTTTCTAATATCTAAAATATGAGTGAGAGTGTGTGTGTATATATATATATTTATATTTGGGGGCACTATAGCCATGAAAACTTTTCATGTTTTTATAAATATAAACAGTGACAGAATTTTTTATACTTCTATGAAAATGAGTTTTATTTTCTTTCAGAGACTTAATTTGTTGTATATAGTTTCTCAGCTTTCTTAATGTTTTCTACTGATACTTGCAAGTTATTGTTAAACTTTCTATACCTTTCTGTAGCTCCTGTTTTTTTTCTTTACATGGAAAACATTGATATGTTATATCATAATGTATTTTGAAGGCTTTATTCCTTGGGGACAGTGTTTCTCAATCTTCTAATGGGCTCTTTTTTTAAAAAAAGAAAAGAAAAGCAGACTGTTTATTTTTCTTTTTTACAGTACAAATTGATTTATTTAAAACAGTTACAAAAAAACAAAACAAAATAGAGATTATCATTAGAATTATTAATGGTTTGTTAAAAATCAGGTAGGATTACGGGGTAAGAAATGGTATTAGGTGGGAGGAGCACCTGACTAGTTCTAAGGCTTTAGATACAATGCAGTTGATTACGTATTAATTCAGCCATTACATACTGGGGATAGTAGATGGGGGATCAGTAATTTATCTACAGGGAACTCCTACACAGATCCATGAAGACCTCCCCAGTGCCATCCTTTTCCACTCCTTAGACCCTAAAACCACCTGGGTGACAACATTTCCGTCCTTCTTTCTCCACCCCATTCCCTATCCATATATTCTTCCCACACCTAAGGTGCTGTGCAAGCTGAGAGCAGTCTGCTCTCTGCAGCTGGAACATATACTGTTTTGGCTACAGGGATCCTGTGTGACTAAGAAGGTTTTAGGGGCAGCCTTATTTTAATATTTCAGGTTAGCCATGAGTACAGTCAGTCCCTTCCCTAACACAATTTAGATTGTCTTGAACACAAGTATCAGGTGAGGGATCAACCCTGCCTCCAGCAATACCAGCAATACGCTAACCACTCAGGCTCACAGCTACAAAAAGCAAACCCTTTAAATGGAAACAATCTCAAGTTCTGCTAGAGTTTGCTTAGTTTTAGTATAATGTTAATTATGTGTATGCAAACATACAACTAAATATAAACTCCATATATATACGTATATGTGTATATATATACATGTATATATATACGTATATATGTACGTATATATGTATATATGTGTATATATATACACGTATATATACGTATATATGTATATATATGTGTATATATATACATGTATATACATATATATGTGTGTGTGTGTGTATATATATATATATATATATATATATATATATATTTTTTTTTTTTTAATTTGAGGCTGGGTCTTGCTCCATCACCTAGGGTGGAGTGCAGTGGGGTGATCACAGCTCACTGCAACCTCTGCTTCCCAGACTCAAGCGATCCTCATCTCAGCCTCCTGAGTAGCAGGGACTACAGGTGTGTGCCACCATGCCCAGACTAATTTTGTTTATTTTAGTTTTTTGTAGAGACGGGGTTTCTCTGTGTTCCCTAGGCTGGTCTCCAACTCCTGGGCTCAAGTGATCCACCTGGCCTTGGCCTCCCAAGGTGCTGGCTGGGATTATAGGCATGAGTCACTGCTCCCAGCTAACTCCTTATACCTGTAGTGCTTATACAGCTATATCAGTGTGATTTTTTTTAAAATTTCAGGTATAATGAACCATCATTTGATTTGTATTTATTATCACAGTGAAAACAATTTGTAGTCATTATTCCTTTTTTTGCACAGAAATTTTCAAACCGCTGATCCAAACCCCAAAATAGTATGCTGAGAAATTCTTTAAAATACTACATAAAGAAGAAATTATTTTGCAATTATTACTTTTCCTACTAATCATGAACAGTTGATGGATGTTGGTGGATACAAAGATGGGATCCTTATATAGAACATCAGATCGCAGTGGCACGATCTCAGCTCACTGCAACCTACACCTCCCTGGCTCAAGCGATTCTCATGCCTCAGCCTCCTGAGTAGCTGGAAAAAAATCTCAAGTTCTGCTAGAGTTTACTTGGTTTTAGTATAATGTTACAGGCATGTGCCACAGGTGCATGCCACCACACTGGGCTAATTTTTTATATTTTTTGGCTGAGACACTGGGTCTTGCCATGTTACCCATGCTGGTCTCAAACTCCTGAGCTCAAGTGATCCACCTGCCTTGGCCTCCCAAAGTACTGGGATTACAGGCATGTAATTACCACATCTGGATGAAGGTTCGTTAGAATTTAACATACCTGTACTGTGGTGTATAGTAGGACAGCTCAATCTTTTCACTATTTTTTCTATTAATAGTACTAGCCTTCATTCGTACAGCGTGTTGTTATTTGGCCATTGTTCTCTAAAAACAAAATTATAAACTCACATAGAAGCAGGCTGCCCAGGAATACTACCCAGAGTCCATTTGATGAACACTATCTTAGGTTCTTTATTTTTATTCTTCTAAACAGAGGCTGTTTTTAAGAATTTTTATATTTCTTCAACTGCAAATAGAATAATTATAGTGAGGCCAGGTGTGGTGGCTCAAGCCTGTAACCCCAGCACTTTGGGAGGCCGAGGCAGGCAGGTCGCCAGAGGTCAGGAGTTTGAGACCATCCTGGCCAACATGGTGAAACCTCATCTCTACTAAAAATATAAAAATTAGCCGGGCACGGTGGTGGGTGCCTGTAATGCCCGCTACTCAGGAGGCTGAGACAGGAGAATTGCTTGAACCCAGGAGGCAGAGGTTGCAGTGAGCCGAGATCATGCCACTGCACTCCAGCCTGGGCAACAAAGAGCGAAACTCCATATTTGAAGAAAAAAAAAAGAATAACTATAGTGTTTTAACTTACACAGTCTGCTTACTTCTCTAGCAATTCCTTAGTGCACCATGATTATTTCAGGAAGGGGTAATTGCTTTAATCTGAATTTCCTTTTTGCGTTTCCCTTATGGTAGATTCAATAGAACAGAGTAATCCATCGAGATATTTTTCTATCTGCTTATGGTAATTGTTTCCTTTGCTGAAAGAATGCTTTGAGAGAGGAAGAGGGAAACATTAAATCCCTCTAATTGAATATAATGATCTTTTTGCTGTTCATATACCATTTGATGTTGGATTTAGAGGGATTAGAGACATTCAGAATTTTAAAAAGTAATAGTGTCCTCAAAAGTTGATTTACACAGTAGTACTTATATAAATAATGTGTGTGATAATTTGCACAGAAAGAATTTTTTGTGCTTATTGTGAATTATGAACCATAAAGAACTTATTCAGTCGTTGATAACTCAAGAGTACAGAGTAGTATCCAGTTTTTCTAATGACAAGCAATCTCATGGTGGACTACTTTTGAGACTTGAAGACTGAAGTAAAAATAAATACAAGCTAAAGCTTAATGCTAATTATAAAACACTAAAATAATCAGAGAATTACAGTGAAGAATTAGAATGCAATTGCTACTTAAAATTTTTTTCCTTACCAACTTTGAGGAATAATAACATATGGATAAGAAAGTTTATCCTTTTAAAGTGTGTCATTTGATGAGTTTTGACATTTACACATACCCATGAAGCTCCCATTATAATCAAGATACAGAATGTTTGTATCATCCCCAAAGATTCCTCTCCCCACTTTGCAGTCCATTCCATTTTCTGCTCTGGCCCCAGACAACTACTAATCTGTTCTTTTTCACTATAGTTTACATTCTGCATGAATTGAATCATAGTGGGTATGTCTGGCTTCATTCACTCAAAATGAAGATAATTTTGAGATTCATCCATGTTGTTCAATATATTGATAGTTTGCTCCAGTATATGCATTGTTTATTCCTTCACCTATTGATACACATTTCTATTTAATACTTTATGAAGTTTTGAAATTAGATACCAGTGATTGGAAAAAAAAATCCTTAAAATCTTTTAATTTTTTTTTTCTTTCTTTTTTTTTTTTTTCTGAGACAGGATCTTGCCCTGTCACCCAGGCTGGAGTGCAGTGGTGCAATCTCGGCTCACTGCAACCTCAACCTCCTTTGCTTAAGCGATCCTCCCATCTCAGCACCCTCATGTAGCTGAGACTGCAGGCACGCACCACCATGCCTGGTTAATTTTTGTATTTTTTTCTAGGGGTCTTGTCATGTTGCCCAGGCTAGTCTCGAACTCCTGGACTCAAGCGATTCACCTGCCTCGGCCTCCCGGAGTGTGCTATGATTACAGGTGTGAGCCACCGTACAGGCCAAAATCTCTTAATTCTTTTTTCTTTTTTTCTTTTTTTTTTTTTTTTTTTGAGACGGAGTCTCGCTCTGTCACCCAGGCTGGAGTGCAGTGGCACGACCTCGGCTCACTGCAACATCTGACTCCCTGGTTCAAGTGAGTCTCCTGCCTCAGCCTCCCGAGTAGCTGGGATTACAAGCATATGCCACCACACCCAGCTAATTTTTGTATTTTTATTAGAGACATGGTTTCACCATGTTGGCCAGGATGGTCTGGATCTCCTGACATTGTGATCCGCCCACCTCAACCTCCCAAAGTGCTGGGATTACAGGCGCGAGCCACTGCGTCCAGCCTAAAATCTCTTATTTCTTAATGGAAAATGTTATGTATGACTTGTGAGTGAAAAATAAAGACTCTTTCACTCTTTCTGGCTATCTTATTTTAGGGAAGATTTTTCTTTTTCTTTTATCTTCTCTTCTCTTTTCTTTTCTTAAGGAACTTGGATGTCCCCTGATTCCAAGTGAATAAGACACATTTTGTTGGCTCATCTTTTAACCTAGATACTTAGTATGGCATGAAGTACTATTCAGGAAGCTTTGACAGAGTATTAATTTTTTAAAAACTTATTCAATGATAACGAAATTTGGAAGATTTATAGTAATAATCTAACAGTGGTTTTCAGACCTGTGTGCCTCAGTAAAAAAATTTTGAGTGTGTGTTACCAATATAAATAGTCATTTATAAATTCTACATATCTATTACTTTATTAATGTAGTATGTACAGTATAAAATAAAACCAAAGTAGATATTTAAAAGGATGAGATAAAAGGTAATTATAAATAAATAGTTGTTTCTGCACATCTAGTGGATTGCCTTATGCATACCTGACTCTGGAAACCAGATGTATAGTATTGCCTATTCAAACAGTTAAAAGCTACACCAGTAGATGGCATAATATTTTGACTTTTCATTCTACATAAATGTGTAATTTATGTGAACTGCTGGAGGAAGATAATAATTTATATATAGTATAAAAATACTTTATAGTAAAGGAAAAAAGACAGTTTTTAAATACTTTTTTTCTAATCTCCTCATCCCCATGAAATTTTTATTTTTTATTTTTTACAAAAAAATTTATGCCTCAACCCTATTAACTGACCCATGAAATTTTCATACTACAAATCTGCTGTGTATGTCTGTGTATATATAATCTGACGCTTTCAAGGACCACCAACAATTGTGATAACTAAGTTTATTTTTTACCCCTCAAGATCCAGTTTTTGTCTATTTGGAGTATATCACCTTATTTAGAATGCATGCTTTAGGGTGTAATTGTGTTTTTTCACCTATTACTTGACCTTTCTAATCTCATTTTTTTAAGTGAGTAATAAATTAGTATTCATTCTGTTTGTCTGTAGCTACTGATGTCCATATCAGTAGCAGGGGGAGGTAGTAGGAAGCTTGTCTAACATTATGAAATGTACTGGAGGTAATTCATAAGAGACAGGCTCTTCATAGGTCATTCACTTGGCCATACCATGACGTTTTTTTGTTTCTGCATTTTCCACAGGATGCTATTCTGAAATACAATGTGGCATATTCTAAGAAATGGGACTTTACAGCTTTGATCGATTTCTGGGATAAGGTAAAAGTATCCTTATTTCTTTATGAAAATATTATTGACAACTCAATAAGAAGGTTTGAGAAGAATACCCATAATTCTGCCACACTAAGATAATTATCTTTTAGTTTTATAAATTTGCTGTTATTTTATATGTATGTTTTAGGTAAATACAATTAGGAGTTAATATTGAATTTTGTTTTCATCTCTTAGAATACACATTTTCTGTTATATTTTCATACCATTATCAGCATTATCAAGGAATGTATAATAGTCCATGATTAGATTTTGAGAATATAATGGTTCTTATATTCTCAAACATACAGGTTGCATCCAGTTTTACCTTCAGTTACATTGTGGCAACATCATTATATATGTATATATATTTTCCCATATTTGATATTGTTTCTTTAGGTGATTTCCAGAAATTAGATGACTAAGTCAAAGGGCACAAAACATTTGTTTAAAAATCTTTTAAAAACTTTTGTCATAAAATCATTTTTCCACAGATTAATTGTAGCAATTTACTATGCTGCCAGTAGTGGATAAGAATATCACTTTCATAGTACCATTAGCAGAGAGAGTCTTTTCATTTGTCTATTGGCCATTTCTATATCTTCTTTGGAGAAATACCTATTCAAATTTTTTGTCTTTATTATTGAATTTTAGGCATTCTTTGTATATTTTAGATGCAGGTTCCTTACCAGATATATGACTTGCAAATATTTTCTCCCATTTTGTGTTTTTTTTTTTTCTTTTTCTTGATGTTACACTTTGAAGCTCAAAAATTTTTAATTTTGACAAAGTCAGTTTATCATTTTTTTTCTTCTGTTTTCGGGATCATATTTAAGAAGCTAATCTAAGATCATGAAGATTTATGTTTCTTCTAAGAATTTTATAGCTTTAGCTCTTACACTATGACCATTACCCATTTTGTGTTAATTTTTGTATATGATGTAAATTAGAAGTCCAATTTTATTATTTTCCATGTGAATATCCATTTCGAGTTAATTTTCATATGTGGTGTAAGGTAGGAGTTCAACTTCATTATTTTGCATGTGGATAACAAGTTGTCCCAGCACCATTTGTTGAAAAGACTCTTCTATCCCGTGTTGAATTGTCTTGGCACCTTTTCAAAACCAGTTGACGTAAGGATTGTTTCTGGCCTCTCAGTTCTGTGACACTGATCTATATGTCTATCCTTGTGCCAGTACCACACAGTCTTGGTTGCATAGCTTTGTGGTCAGTTTTAAAATCAGGAAGTGTGTGTCCTGTAGCTTTGGTCTTTTTCAAATTTGTTTTGGCTATTTTTGGATTCTTTGCATTTCACTCTGAATTTTAGGATTAATTTGTTACTTTCTGCAAAAAACCTAGGTGCTAAGGGCAACTCTTACATCACGTTAATAGAATCCAAACTAATTCTGCATTTCGAGATAGTGCCAGTAATTTCAGAATTATCTTATTGAGCTTTTGACCCATATGGCTTTTACAAGGCAGGCATAAATAATGGAAGACTTATCCTTGTGTCTGGAAATTGGATATCTCAGATATCCTTGAATCTAAATGTCTTTCACTGTAACAGCAATGTAATATCTGATATGATGAAAAGTAGATCAAACCGATATAATCGTTATCCTTGTCACTTAAGTTATCAGGACATAACATTTGTATTGTAACTTTCTGAGCTTAAATTGGACATGATGGTTAATTGGGGTAAGAAGTAATGTATAATTTGATACCTTGAGATGGCAGTAAAACATGCCATTGGTTACAATACCTCTGTCACCTTGCTATGAAGTAGTCATTTGTTTCTCTCTTCTTAATCAGAATACTCAGACAGGACCTTGTTTCCCCTTTATCTGGTGACCTTGCCCAGAAGCATGCCTGAAACGGGTAATATATAGCAAGTTTTGGTGTGTTTAGTGTAGATCATAAATATGAGATGATTACTCAGGTGCTGATGATGGTTTTACAGTTATTTAGGGAGAAGAGTCCTTGCGTTTTCGACCTTCTAATATTTATTTATTTATTTATTTATGAAATGGAGTCTCACTCTGTCACCCAGGCTGGAGTGCAGCGGCACAATCTCAGCTCACTGCAATTTCTGCCTCGCGGGTTCAAGCGATTCTCTTGCCTCAGCCTTCCAAGTAGCTGGGATTACAGGTGCCCGCCACGTTGCCCGGCTAATTTTTATATTTTTAGTAGAGATGGGGTTTTGCCATGTTGGCCAGGCTGGTCCCAAATTCCTGACCTTAAGTGATCCACCCAACTCGGCCTCCCAAAGTGCTGGGATTACAGGTGTGAGCCACCGCCCTCAACCAGACCTTCTGATTTGTATTTACTTTGTAAACATATGGAGGGTTGGAGAAGTCCCCACAACTACACTAAGTATTTATTTCTTGTTGTATTCTTTTTAAGTCTTTGCCCATATATATGATGTCTTATAGCTAGACATAAATGTATGTTTAAAATTTATGCTGTATTATAAAATCTTCTGTGTTATATAATTTTATAATGTTTAGCCTTAATGGTTGCAATAATATTCCATCAAATTGATAAATTGTCTGCTCATCCATTCCTGTGTTTGTTGGAGATTTGAGGAAATTTGTGTAAAGCTTATCTAGAGATTTGAAGGGGGTTCTCCCTGTGATTGTTTGCTATTCTGTCATTATCAGTGTACTTAACAAAATACCTTGGATGTTTAATACACTTGTTTATTTTTCTATCCATCAAATCTCCAGATATTATTCTAGAACTTTAGCAAGTCATGACCCACAGGGACAACATTGCCCACGCTTGCAGTGGTTAGTGAGAAGTAAGTGTCAGACATACCTATATAGGTGGGATTGGTGGAAGAAAAGATTTTTAGCGCAAGGGAAACAATTGTTTGCTTTGGTTTTAAGTTGAAAATATATTTGGTTTGCATTTTCAGTGTCTTATGTTCTGTACTAGGAATGCTTGTTTATAAAGGGTTCTTTTATTTTTTTATTTAAAGCCAGGCTATAGTGCAGTGGTGCTGTCACAGCTCACTGCAGCCTCAAACCTCCGGGGCTGTATACTTCCTCCCACTTTAGCCTCCCGTTTAGCTGGGACTACAGGCATGTGCTACCACACCTGGCTAGTTTTTTGTATTTTTTTGTAGAGATAGGGTTTCACCATTGTTACCCAAGCTGGTCTTGAACTCTTGGGCTCAAGCAATCTTCGCTCCTCAGCCTCCCAAAGTGCTGGGATTATAGGCATGAGCCACTGTGCCTGGCCTATAAAGCGTTCTTTATTTTCGAGATGGATTCCAGCTCTGTCACCAGACTGGAATGCAGTGATGTAATCTCGGCTCACTGCAACCTCCACCTCCTGGGTTCAAGCCATTTGCCTGCCTCAGCTTCCCGAGTAGCTAGGACTACAGACGTGCGCCACCACACCCAGCTAATTTTTGTATTTTTATTAGAGACTGGGTTTCACCATGTTGGCCATGATGGTCTCGATCTCTTGACCTCGTGATCTGCCCGCCTCGGCCTCCCAAAGTGCTGGGATTACAGGCATGAGCCACCGCGCTCGGCCTTAAACTAAGGGTTCTTAAACATTGTTTATTAGCAGGGTTTCGCAATATTTTCAATTTTTATTTTCTAATTTTTTGTTGTTTTGAGACAGTATCTCACTCTATTGCCCAGGCTGGAGTGCAATGGCATGATCTCGGCTCATTGTAACCTCCACCTCCCAGGTTCAAGCAATTCTTGTGCCTCAGCCTCCTGAGTAGCTGGGACTACAGGCATGCACCACCACACCTGGCTAATTTTTGGATTTTTGGTAGAGACAGGGTTTCACTATATTGGCCAGGCTGGTCTCGAACTCCTGACCTCAAGTGATCTGCACACCTCGGCCTCCAAAAGTGTTGGGATTACAGGTGTGAGCGGCTGCTCCCAGCCAGAATTTGGAAATTCTTTACTTAAATGTCACATTGAACTCTGAGTGGCTTGTTTTATTAAGGAAAAGAATTAAATTTGACATCGTATTAAGATTAATATTTTGCAGTTACGTTTATTTTGAAGCTGTTGATATTTATCTCCTTAAAACCTTCCTTTGATTAATTCTGTAAGTAAAGGATTTTGTAACCCAAACTACCTTACAACGAGAGGAGTTCATGTCAACAGTCATTGTGAATCCATGGTACTGTAATTACCTACATTCTGGTCTCTAGCACAAGAGGTAAGGTGCCCAGAAGCCCACCCTGGTGTGTGAGCACCTCTACTGGAATGGAAGTAAGGAGTATTACCTAAGCTTTTATTAGTTTTTCAGAAACCAGCAAAGATCACAGAGACCAATCTGTTAATTTGTTATTTATAATTATATATTTAGGTGCTACTGAGTCGAAATGGCTGTTATTTAGTGTTTTCTGCAACTTCAGGGCTAATATTGGTCTTCCTCACTGCTAGCTGCTGGAAGTGCTACAAACACACAATCTGTGTTTTATGGCCCTCCTGTGTGGTGTTTCACAAAATTAAATTCAAACACTTCTGTAATTTATATTCTAAATGAATCAATATACTTACTCCTGGCATTTTTCACTGGAAAGTTGAACAAAATGTTCTATATGTTATAAAAGTCCTCTATCAATGCATCTTGGAGGAATTTTTAAATACTTCTCTTTTTTTTTTTTTTTTGAGACACAGTCTTTCTCTGTCACTCAGGCTGGAGTGGAGTGGCACGATCTTGGCCCACTGCAACCTCTGCCTCCCAGGTTCAAGTGATTCTCCCGCCTCAGCCTCCTGAGTAGCTGGAATTACAGGCACCCACCACCACGCCAGGCTAATTTTTGTATTTTTAGTAGAGACAGGGTTTCACCATCTTGGTCAGGCTGGTCTCGAACTCCTGACCTCAGGTGATCCACCCACCTTGGCCTCCCAAAGTGCTGGGATTACAGGTATGAGCCACTGTGCCCAGCCAAATACTCCTCTTTTACAACACCTGTGGCACTGTTTCATTTCACTTATAGTGTGTTAACTTGTGAAATTTACATTAAAGCTGTAGTAACTGAAGGGCATGGGGGACGTATTTTTAAGGGGGTTTCTTCTGTTTCTGCAATGTTGGCTTCTATTTCTGGACTTGGATATTTGTTTTATATTTATTCATTAGACTATACATATATATTTTTATGTACTTTTTGAATATTCACAATAAGTATAAAATGTTATTATAAAGAGCTTTAAATCTGCAATTGATTTATATAGCAAACTTCTTAAGAAAATGGATTAATTGTTGAAAGGAAGCCTAAGGATTTTAGTGACTATTTCATCTTCCTTTCCATGTTGAGTTTTATGTCTGGAATTGAAAAGATAGAAATGTATAAGCCTTTCGTTTCATCCTTCCATTGGTTTTTCCATGAAGGCTGTCATAAATAACAAAATGAAGTGGTTTTGGTTTTGCTTTTGTTTTTTGCATCTGTGGCTGGTAAAGGTAGAGAGTGAGAGATAGGAGTACAGGAAGGAGAGGACATTTAAAAGTAAAAAATGAAAAACCTAGACTTTAGAATGATTTTGTTGCTGTGATGAGGCTAGTAATATGTTTCTCTTTGTAAACCACAATTTAAATATAGATATATAGCATAAAGTCTTTACTTCAAATCATACATACAAAATAGATTATTGCAACTTAGAAATTGTGCATCTTTTGTCTTCGCTGTAGTTATTAAAATATCGACTACGCATTCTCCTATCATCTCTTGTCCTATGACTTGTCAGAGAAAGACTGTTTAAAGCCTCTATCACTGTAAATAAGAGTGTGTAATTCTATTAGTATTGAACTTGCATTTTTATTTATGTGCTACTTAATTTAAAAGGTAAATGGGACATCATATTGAGTTTTGAATGATGCAAATTAAGTTGATCATGTTATTATATCTGTCTTTTTCTTCAGAACTGTTTCTGTCATTTAAATTTTTTTTTACTTTTTTTTTTTCCAAGAGCACAAATCCACTTTTATTTATTTACTTTTCATTAATTTAAATGCTTGAGGGGTACAGCGTCACACAGATTCTGTGTCCAGTGGCCTTAGCAGGAAGATTGCTTCAGAATTTGGCATGAACCATGCCACTATTTCCCTGGGACCAAGTTACCTTTCCCTAGATTACTCTGGTTTTGTTTGGTTTGCCACCAGGAGTCACTTTGTTGTTCTTTGTTTTGTATATATAAGTACATCTTATGCCCGAACAGAATTCTGTTTCATTTTGAGCATAAGCACCTTCTATTTTAAAAAGAGCTGTGTGCTGTCTTTGGTTCTGGAGACCCCACTTATGCTCAGCAAAAATGGCCTTGGACCACAGCCTTCCAGACATACTTCCTTTTAGTATTCCTGTTCCCAGCAGGCCTCCACAGGCTCCAAGTTGGCAGAAAGAGAAAGGCCATTTAAAATTTTAAAAACAGGTACAACATAATTCATTGTCTCCAAAATTGAGGCATGTATTATTATACCTGTGTTTAGCTAAAATAACAGTTTTTGAACTTGTGATTATGGAAAACTTTAAAAATGATAATGTATTGACAGAGCATCAGTAGAAACTCAGAAAAAAGAACATAAACTTGTATTAAAATAGATTACAAAAAGTTATTTCACATACACAAAGTAATGGCTGGAAGAAATTAAGTTTTGATTTATGCCTTTATTATATAATAAAAAGTTAAAATATATGTTGAAATTATTAGGCAAAAATCACAGCACAAATCAGCTATGATTCAATAACGTAAAACACAATAGTTGTATGTTTATGCATCACTTGAGCATCAATGCATTCATGCATATGTGGTATACTGTGGACATCCTGGCTTTCTGAGGTGTGGCATGCTATTATGAGTAGCTTATCTCATGGTAATTTTAACTGTATCAAATATACTCAGTATTTTTGTGTATTAAAAATTTTAGAACAAAAATATTGTTAGAGGATTTTTCTTCTCTCTTCATTCCTCCTATCCCCACCCCTTTATCCTATAAACTGTCTATAAACATTTCATGGAGGGTTAGTGCTTTTTAGAATAGTTTGGGAAAAGCTGACCTAAGGCGGTAAATTGTTATAACTGCTGTTTTAAATCACAACAGATTTCGTTATTCAGTAACTGAAGGAATGTGGCCTCCTTCCATGATAGCCTTTTGGTGGTCATTTTTTGTTTTGTTTTGGTTTGGTTTTTTGATAACACTGAAGTAAGTTTCTGAATGTATATAAACACATTATTACTTAGCTTGATTTAACATTCTTCGTAGATAATCTGTTTTCTGGGATTTTCTTCAAAGCTTAAAAAATATCAAGTATCTTTGTTATATTTGTCACAAAGAGCCTGTACCAAACTCCTAATCAAATGAAAGCAGCCTTAAATGTTTCATAAGACTACAGCTAATGTCTTTATCTCTCTAGCTTTCGAACCTCTGATTTGGAGTTCAGTGGAAATTTAACCTTTTTGGACCTCTTCCCTTGGTGACTCACAGTCTCTGGAATCATAAGGTCTGCATTACTTTACAGCTCAATTTAATTCATGAGAACTATAGGAGCCAAAAGGGAACTAATCAGAATCACTAAAATATTGAAACAGATCAATTGTGACTTTTATATTTGTATGGAATATGTGGAATTTCTCTCCCTGGTTTGGTTAATGAGTGCTTTTGAATTGGGACATATGTTGATGGTCTCATATTTATGATTTATGATTTCTAAATAGTGCATATCCCAAAGGACAGATTACTCCAATTGGAACTAGGCACTTTGCTTTTATAAACTTGATGAGTTACCATGGAATATCAGTCTTAGTTGAGCCCTCTATGCACTAGATCACTGATGAAGTTAGAGTTGTTATTTTGTGTTTGCAAAACACTATCTGGATTGTATTTATTTATGTGGTGGACAAAGAGGTTAGAAGTTATAGATACTGAAAAGTGAAAATTCATTCAGTAGACTTTCTCTTATATTCTAATAATGAAATTAAGCTAGTACTTAGTTTGTCCTATAACTCTAACCCTTCATTTGGGTCAAATAGCAGTAGAAGTTATTCCTTTTAAATGTTGCTGTGGTGTTGATTTCATTATCCAAAAATCTACTGTTAGAGGAGTGAAGATAATTCTGTGTTTTAATCTTGCCCATGATTTATATCTCTATCAGCTAGCTCTGAAGTGTTTTGGGTTTTGTTTTGTTTTGTTTGTATTTTATTAACACAGTTAAACATGATGCCTTGATTTATAATTTCTGTTAATTTGCATTTATTCTTCTTATGTTCCTACTCATAAAAATAAATTCTATAGTCCTTTTGAGTATGCTTTGAACACTTATCTACATGTAACATTTCATATTTAACCCTGGAAGGACTATTGTAGTATTTTTATCTGAAGGTAAAAATAATGAGTAAATAAAAACAGAACGTTAGATCTGTTTTTCAAATTTATATATTGTTTCAGTGTGTAGCCTATCTAAACAAGCGGTAAACTTGCTCATCAAAGACTAAATAGGTCCATTGGTCCTTTTATATGAGGGGGTGCTGTTAGTGCTGTGGTTTACCAAAGACTAAGCCAATGGTCTTTCTCCTTATTTTACTATTAGTACTAGTAGAGAAAAATACTCATCCTCGATTTATTGTGATGATAATGACAGGTAATGATTTACTACAAGAGTCTGTCAGATTCTAAGCTGGCTAAATAATTTTTCTTTATAGTGTGTTAATGAAGTTTTTAGTAAGCTGAGTGACATAGTGCCTTGTCACCACAAATGCTCTTTGATTACATGAAAAGTGTTACAAAAAGACATTTTCTGCCACAAGGGCCATTTCCAGCATAATGAAATATGGAATATTTTCAAATGAACTCCAAAGTGATATGTATTGAAGTCTTGCTCTTGGTCTAATCTGCCTCAGTCCTGAGAAGCCTAGCTCTAAGATAAACAAAGGGCATCTTCCACTGGGAGTGCAATGTTGGAACTGCTCACTGCCTTAAGTAACCATATGCATAGCCTCTTTCCTGATAGTTGGCTCCTGTCTCCCTTTGTAATCCTTTCCTTCTTCCATGCCTGCTGCTTAAGTTGCAGACTATTCCAGCCTCACTTCTCTTGGACACTTCTATCTGTTGCAGGCATAGGCCTGTCTCATCCCAGACTCACCTCTTCTACAAGATCCTCCCTGTAAATATCTCCTTTGTGTTTGCTGGATCATCTTATTTGGTTATCTTTGGCGATGGAGGTGGTAGTGCTTATTACTGAGAGTTTTCTATGTACCAACTATAGTGTCAGCAGTATGCTTTATCTGATTTAATTCTAACAACCACCTCATGAGTTAGATGCTATTAATATTTCTGTTTTACAAATGAAGAATGGAAAACCAAGGTTTAGGGAGTTTAAGTAACTAAGTGACATCTCATTTTTATCTATGGACTGTGGCACATGCTGTCAGAGTCGGTCTTTGACATAGCACCTAGGAAAGAAGCTGAATCAGATTAAACATACTACCCAAACATTAGGTCAATTGAAAATGGCTAGGGAAAGGGGAAGATTCATCGTAAAAACTAATTGAGTAAAGCTAGGGAGGCCCAATAAGTTCAAAGATTTGAATTCAAGGTAGAAAGAAGAAGAAAACCCTCTAGCAGAAGGCGGCCTTAATGGCCCATAGCCTTAGATCTGGCATCATTTAGAACCACATGGCTGGACATGTGGCTCAAGCCTGTAATCCCAATACTTTGGGAGGCTGAGGTGGACAGATCACTTGAGGTCAGGAGTTTGAGACCAGCCTGACCAACATGGTGAAACCCTGTTTCTACTGGGAAAAAAAAAAAAAAAGCGGCAGCATCACAGCCTCAGGGAAAGCACCTACCAGCTTCCAACAGTCTTCGTTCCTTTGAATCCTTTGCCATCTGGTTATATTCCCTCTTCCCATTCTTGTTATCTGCCCATCTCTGACACCTCTTTTCCTCTCTCCTGTTACTTGGCATCGCCTTGGGCAACTTCGGTTCAGTTGATATTCATGTTGATGAACCATTTACTAGTCAAACCCAGTCTGTGTGTGAGACCTTCTACTTTATTAACCCATGTGACCACAAATGACCAGAGCTTGGACCTGATTATCCCCTGGGCCAGCTCCTTCTCTAAAGCCATGAGCTCAGAATTCTTCTCCCACCACAGCCTCCTAGTTTTCTACTCCCTTATTCCTACTGTGCTTTCTGTTTTTTGAGTCTCCACTGCGTTCATCCCTTTTCTTCTGGTCCACTGTGTCCCAGGTTGTATTACGCAAATATTAACACTTCGTAAGTAAAGGGTTAATAGTTAAGGTGGGGGAATGTACTGCGTATTATATCCTCCTTCTGGGAATAGCTCTGAGGAGTCTTACAGTAAAGAAACATGCTTAGCTTTATTTAATTAAACCTCTTTTTTTCAAACTTATTTATAAACAGCTTCCATGTAACAGCTTTTGACTTCCTTTGTAGCAAGTATTCCATGGAGCACACTTTGCAGAGCACAGTTGTAATGGGGAAGGAAGGGAAGGAGGAAGAAATAAAGGGCGAGAGGAGAGAGGGAAGGAGGGAGAGAGGGAATAACAAATCTTACTGATAGGCCTTGCTAAGAGTTCATGTTATTCAATCTTAACTAGGCCTTTGTTTCCTGTTGCCATCTTTTATATATTTCCTTATTACTCTAGGATTCCAAACCTTTTCATTGTTTTGTAACATTTACTGACATTCCACTATCAGTCTGCTCCTACTTAATACCTCTCGGAGAGATTTGAGGACATCTAAAAGGTAAATTCTTTAAGTTTCTTTATTTTAAGGGTTTCAACATACCTCATGCTTCTCTTTCTTGTTATCTCAAAGGAAAAGCTCGTCTTATTCCATTCCTCAAGGGCAGCATGTCCAAAACAATTATACTTTAGGATACATATGTCACTGTTTCTTTTCTGGCCTTGTCCCTCTTTCCCTGCTGCCTGGTTAGTGCTTGCTTGACTTTTAGTGTTCAGCATGACTATCACTTCTGCAATTGACTTTATTTATTTATTTATTTATTTATTTATTTTTGAGATGTTCTCTTGGTCTGTTGCGCAGGTTGGAGTACAGTGGCATGATCTTGGCTCACTGCAACCTCCGCCTCCTGGGTTCAAGCGATTCTCCTGCCTCAGCCTCCTGAGTAGCTGGGATTACAGGCACGCACCACCTTGCCTGGCTAATTTTTATATTTTTAGTAGAGATGGGGTTTCACCATGTTGGCCAGGCTGGTCTCAAATCCCTGACCTCAGGTGATCCGCCCACGTTGGGCCTCCCAAAGTGCTGGGATTACAGGCATGAGCTATCGTGCCTGACCTAGACTTTCTTTTTTTAGAGCAGTTTTAGATTCATAGCAAAATACACTGATTTCTCATATATCCCCCACTCCCAGGCATGCACACCCTCCCCCATTATCAACATCCCCCACCAGAGTGGTTCATTTGCTACAATTGATGAACCTACCTTGACACATCATTACCACTCAAAGTTCTGTAATTGATGTTTTACAGTCATCTTCTATAAGCTTCCTTGTATGAGGCTGTGATTTGTTCTTTGTTATGTTCCTAGCACTTAACATAGTGAGAACTTTCAATACCACTTAATGCAGGTTATATGCAAATCTTTTTTCTTTTGCTCTTTCTCTCTGCCATCTTCTAATTGACTATTGGATTTATTCACCTGGATATTCCACAAGTACCTAAAACTAGCCTTGTCACCACTCTTCCACATTCTGTCATTGAATGATTCCACCATTTATCTATTCATTCACTCAAGCCAGAACTTGTTAATCATCTTAGCTGCCCTATTCTGCCTCAGCCACCTTTTTCTGCTCATCTACCATTTCCTCATCTTACAGTATGATGTCATAATTTTACTTCCTAAATACTTCTTGAGTTTCGGCTCTATTTCTGTTACACTTGTCTCCTCCATACCATCGTCATGACTCAGCTAGTATATTGTAAGAGTCACCTAGTCGACCCCTGTGTGCAGTTGATCCCTTCAAATCCATCCTTCATGCTGCTTACACACAGTGAGCTATCTGAAGCATAGATCTTAAAACCTCCATGGCATTTCATCTCTTTTCAACTCTATTGGTGATATTTATGGCATTCCATGACCTTGCCTCTGCCCACCTCTCTGGCATCATTTCATGCCACTTTTCCTGCTTGAAACCTGATGGTCTAATGACTCTAAATTACTTGTGGTTCTCTGTCATGGTGTTTGCCTGCTTCTTAATCCAGCCTTCAAGACTCAGCTCAGTTTTTATCTCCTCTGAGTATCCTTTTTTGTCCTCTCAGCCGCTACTAAAAACTCCTCTGTGTGCTCACAGTAGTACCTGTGCACAACTCCATGTACTTGTTACATTAGGCATCATATAGCCACGAAATGTCTGAATATTCATGAGGCCCAATTTTTCCAGGGCATCTTACTATTTTCTAGCCCATGGCTAATGCACAGTTAATGTTTCTTGAACTGAGTTCAGGATATTCAGGGAGAGTAGTCCAGCACACAAAAATGTGGGCCTTGAACCACAATCACTTACCGAGAGATTTAGGAATTATTTTGTGTAAGGTGATAGTTGATCATTTGCAACTGGTGATTGGTAGAGAGAAAAGGTAAGGCCAGTATGCATAACCTTTACTATAGTCTTTTTTGTTTATTTTTTTTCCAGAGACAGGGCTTTGCTCTGTCCTCCAGGCTGGAGTGCAGTGCATCGCAACCTCAAATTCCTAGGCTTAAGCAAGATCCTCCTACCTCAGCTTCCAGAGTAGCTGGGACTGTAGGTCCATACCACCACAGCTACCTAAGTAAAATTTTTTTTGGCCGGGCATGGTGGCTCTCATGCCTGTAATCCCAGCACTTCGGGAGGCTGAGGCAAGCAGATCACGAGGTCAAGAGATCGAGACCATCCTGACGAACATGGTGAAACCCTGTCTCTACTAAAAATAAAAAATTAGCTGGGTGTGGTGGCGTGTAAGTTGCAGCTTCTCTGGAGGCTGAGGCAGGAGAATCACTTGAACCCGGGAGGCAGAGGTTGCAGTGAGCCGAGATCGCGCCATTGCACTCCAGTCTGGTGACAGAGTGAGACTCCGTCTCAAAAAAAAAAAAAAAATTTTTTTTGTAGAGACCGAGTCTCATTATGTTGCCCAAGCTGGTCTTAAACACTTGCCCTTAAGCGATCCTCCCGCTTTGGCCTCCCAGAGTGCTGAGATTACAGGCATGAACCACTGTGCCCAGGCTTTATAGTTGTTGTGTAGCATTTTTACCCTAAAAAGTAGTAAGTTTCTAGAGGACAGACACCTTGTATTGTTTGTCTTGGTGTTTATTTTTCACAGTGCTCAATCTAATGTCCTGGACAAAGTGGGTGTTCAATATGTGTTTGGACTAAGTAGCAATAAATGACTAGAATTCAGTAGAAGGGAGAGGCTGTTCTCTTTCTTGGATTTCTGAGCTCTGTAAGTTCACGCTTCAGGGGCCCATTTACCTCTTTAATTCCCTGCATGCAAAAGGGGGATGAATGCCCTAGATGATAGATTGAACCTGACTTCTTAATGTTTTATGTGATATAGCTACGTACCACATCGGTCCTCATATGCCTTCATTTTTATATGGGCTATAAAACCAAAATTACTTCAAGAGGAATATTTGACCATTTTCATCCTTCTTTTAAAATGAATTGGAGTTACCAAAAGTAGCCTGATGCAGTTGAATAAAATTAGGTGTATTTTAGAACCTCTAAACAAAAAGCTACAGATTTAATCATCTGTAGTTGTATCTACATATGTCTGAAAACCCCTGAATCTTCTTTCAGTTGCCCTGGTGACTGTTTCATTAGAGTAGGGTATCAAGAAAGACTACATCTGTGGAGTCCAAACACTGGCTACTATCCACGTAGGCTATTTAAATAGAAATTAATTACAATGAAATAAAATTTAAAATTCAGTTCTTCAGTCACAGTAGCCACATTTCAAATGCCACATGTGGCTGCCGGCTGCCATCCTGGACAGCACAGATATAGAACATTTTCATCACTGCAGAAAGTTAGACTGAATAGAAATGTACTAGGTCATCCCTAAGGATCCTTCTGCATCTGACATCCTTCTACTGGGAAACCTGCTCACAGGGACTTCTGAGATTTCTCAACATTGTTTGACTGCATTTTGAATTTTTTTAGATTGGATATTACTTCAAATAATTGAGTTGTTGAGTAGAACTTGTCCATTTTTAATAAAGATCTTTTCATTGTAATAGCATTTGTTTTAACTACAAATGTATTTGCATTTTTATTCTTTCTCCAAAGAGTGCGCTTCCAGAGAGTGTCCTCAAGCCTTTTAGGAAAATTAGTTTTGTTTCATCCTTAATAAGAGTGAAGTTCAAACTATAATATTGTTATTTCATACTGGATAATTTAATTAAATTAAGAATTAAGCACTATAATATGTATGTATGCACGTTACTTGATTTGCATGGCACATTTTATAATAGCGCTGTGAGTGTGCTAAGCTGTCCTTGAACTACCATAAAAATTACTTAAGTCTGGGTGTGGTGGTTCGTGCTTGTAATTCTAGCACTTTGGGAGGCTGAGGTGGGATGATTGCTTGAGCCCAGGAGTTCAAGACCAGCCCGGGCAAGATGGTGAGACCCCATTGCTACAAAAATTTTTTTAAAAATTAGCTGGGTGTGGTAGCATGCATCTGTAGTCCCAGCTACTTGGGAGGCCGAGGCAGGAGGATCCCTTGAGCCCAAGAGTTCGAGGTGGCAGTGAGCTATGATCACACCAGTGCACTCCAGCCTGGGTGACAAAGTGAGACCCCCATCTCTTAAAAATATATATTACTGAGAAATAAGTATTTTTCAGGGTACTTCTTAGAGTTGAAAAAACCTGCTAATTATTTAAAAGTATAAACTATAATAAAAGATTGAAGTTATTGCTCACCTGTATTTCTTGGACAAATTACATCCATTTTACTTCTAGGGCTGGAAAACTTACATCACCATTAGCTGTTTCTCTGAAATTTTGTCATGTTGAGTTTTACTGCCTGTCTATAAAGATGGATAATAATGTGACTATGTGGTATTGAAAGTATCCATTGGCTTGGACATAATAGCAATGTGGTTTGGTGGTGTTTACAAAAGTGATTGATGGATATGGCCATGTAGTCGTACAGTAATAGAAGTGAGAAATAGGAAAGACATGTCAGAGCGTCTTGTGCCAGTGTGGGTTTATTTCCTAAGGAATAATCATTTACCATAATAGTACTGAGAAGTAAATTCTTTGGAGGCATAGGATAATGAGGGTGTATTATTACGTTTTGTCTTTTCTAAAGTAAGAATTCTGCTGTTTATTATTAGCATGAAAATAGATATGATTGTGCAATAAATATTGTTTAAAGAAGAACTTCCTTCATGTTTTATAAACCTACACAATTCTATTCTTCATGTTTAATGAAGTTTGTGTAGGAAAATAGTGTGACTGTTTTTGATTAGAGGCATATTTTGTTTCAAGAATTGGATGAAGATCTTCTTCCTAAACTGATTGTGTTCCCAGACTAGTTGTTAATTATTTGGAATTAGGAGTCATGATGGGGAAATTTCCACCACATCCAGAAAGTCTGTGAATTTTAAACCTCTGATGGCTTGTTTTCTGAAGTGAAAAACTAATGCAGAGTTCTGTCACTAGAAACACAGCAGTGCTTAGGAGAGATTGGAAGTAGGGTTGTGGTGAGAATTGGCAGGAGGACTCTTTCTCCCTTCATTCCTCCTCCTTCGTCCTGCACTAGCTGATAAGAGCTGGGCCATAGGAGTGGAGACTAAAAATGAAAGGAGGTTTCATTGCTTAGCACTTCTTTTCCTCTTTTCCCCCTTCTGCTGGCAATCCTTGATGGGGAGGAAACAAAGTGTCTGTATAGCAGCCCGATTATTTCATATTAAGCAACTGTCAAATTAATATAAGGACAACTGCAGGTTATTTCCAGTGTGAATTACAGAGTACTTTAAAAACTCGGTATATTTCATTTATCTATCGTTAGGGCAAATCATTTTAAATGCTTATAATGAGCTGTGATTTTTATCAGTATTTCCCAGATTTGAGTCATAAACACTTTGAAAATTCATAGGAAGACTCTTAATAGCTGTTTAAAGAGGAAAACCAAATCAAACCAAAAGAAAGTAGAGGGGCAAGGTGATCCTCAGCACAGCCATTTGTATGTGTCACCACAGCTGACCCCTGGACTCAGCCTTTCACACCACCTTGCCCTCTGCTACCACACTGATTTTGTACCTCTCCATGCACAGTCTTATTTAGGTCCATGAACTAAATAAGTTAGCTGCTAATTGGTGAAATATGCCTTCTTAAATATGACCATGTTAACCTGGCTATTTCCTGAAAACCGGTTGGAGTTTATTAAAAATGGAGACCATTTTTATTGAAGCCATAATTGTCATGGGCGATACACATGAGAGATCACCCTGTGGCTGGCCTGTCAGACTTTCATGAGCCTTCAGAAATTAAGGGGAATGAGTGAGTTTGTTTTCTTGTAAGCTGTCACATTCTGCTCTTCAAAGTGTCAGCCTGAGTTGTGCACAGATAAATGTTAGAAATTTTCACCTTCTCCAGTTGATTTTTTTACCCTTACGTAATTTAGTAGTATGATTGTTTTTCCTCTAACATTTAATGTTTTTGTACTTTTAATTTTTGAAATGTGAGCTTGTGCTTTAGACTTGGGAAAACTTAGAGGTAGTTCCAGTATGGAAAGCTTAGCCTATAGACAGTTTAATCAACTTACACAAAAGAAAACTATGATATTTTTGCTGAGTAATAGAGATTCTGAAAGGCAATGGAGAGGAGGAGGATGAGCTTTGTAAAATCAGCTAATCCAGATAGAAAGTGTCAGTTAATTTAACATATTTTTATTGACGGTTTTACATATGAACACCACTGTTGTAGGAATGGTGAATCAATCATAAATCTTGTCTTAAAGGAGCTTCTAGTAAGGGCTAGAATGCACGTTCATAAATAACAACAGAAAGCAGAAAGTCTTAAGTGTCTTGTGAAAAAAAGTTCAAATAAATTACAAGAGGGAGAATTACTTTTTAGCTGGAGAGTAAATTTGGATAGACTTGAAGCAAACTATTGTTTGAGCAAGATCAAAAGGTTGGATAAGTTTTGGAGTTAAGAAGGAAAGATATTCCAGGATCGTATCTGTAGCAGCACAAACAGATGCTATAGAAAAATGAATTTCTGAGTTTCTAGTATGTAGGCTGCACAGAAGGTAGAGTTTGTGTGTGTGTGTATGTTATATATATGTGCTGAATGAGACTAGATAAGAATCTAGGGTAAGGGAGCTTGACTGTTAGTTCAAGGGATTTGTTCTGTATTGAAAAGGCAGCAGAAAGCCATTGAAAGCTTTGAAGTGGAGCAGAAGCACATCATAGTCTACTTGGGCAGAAACTGAAGGTGGGCTATCAGCAGGGCAGCAGTTAGATTATTGTAGTAATCTTGATGAGACTGGATGAGGGCTGAGGGTAGTTTAGTAGTGATTAAGATGAGGTAATAAATATGTGAGATCCTGCTGGATCAATCAATATAGGACTTGGCAGTTAATTGATATGGGGGTGATCAAAGAAGAAGGAGGCTCCAGAAAGTTTGTGAATTACTGGCCCATTAGACATTAATACTTTTTATATGGAGCTTTAGAATTCATAAAACACTATTATATCTGAAAGCTTTCGTAACTCTGTAAGTTAAAGTTATAGTAGAATTATCCTTACTATGGATGAGGAAATAAAGAATTTAGGGATTTTTCTGTGGTTAATACAAGAGTAAATGCACATCTAGGCCTATAACTAGTCTTCCAGTTTCTTGGCCAGTATTTCTTTTATATCCTTCCTTGTGAACCTGGGAAGAAAAGCTCTGGCATCTAGTCCCAATGTCTTTGTGTTTTTTTGTTTTTTTTGAGACAGAGTCTTGCTCTGTCACCCAGGCCGGAGGTGCAGTGGCATGATCTCAGCTCACTGCAACCTCCACCTCCCGAGCTCAAGCGATTCTCATGCCTTAGCCACCCAAATAGCTGGGACTACAGGTGTGGGCCACAATGCTCAGCTAATTTTTGTATTTTTAGTAGAGATGGCCAGGCTGGTCTTGAACTCTTGACCTCAAGTGATCCACCTGCTTTGGCCTCCCAAAATACTGGGGTTATAGGTGTGAGCCACTGCCCCCAACCACCACTAAGTTTTTGAATGTGGACAAATTGCTTATTTCTTGGAGCTTTAGTCTCTCTAGATGCCCTTATCCTTTCTATCTTGCAAGGATACTTTGAAGATAAAATGCAATGTTTTTGGTTTTATCAACTCTATTCAGCAAATAATGAGCACTAAATACTATGCTTAGTACTGGGGGGCCACAAGATGTTTAAATTTTTTTGTGTGTTTCACAGATCAGAGGACAGGAAATGCAGATAAATAATTGTAATAACCGCAGTAAGTGTTCTAATACAAGTATGTACATTTGGCTCTAGAGTCATAGAGTAAGGGGCAGTCAGGCAATCAGTGAAGGCTTCCCAGGGAGATGGGAACTGAGTCCTGAAGCATAGTTCGTGGTTTAATGGTAGTAAAATGTTAAACAAGGCAGAGGGTAAAATAATGCATCATCATCATCATAATACTAGCTGTTATTTGTTGAAAAGCTTATAATTCTGACCACATCTCTGCAAGATATTTTCATTTTATAAGTAAGAAAATAGGTTCAAAAGGTTGTGATTTGATCATAGTATTTAATGAAGTCAGTATGGTACAAATGAAGTCAGGAGGTGCAAATAGTTAAGTATCACTGGACAGTAGCAAACAAGCAACAGAAAGGATAAAGATAAAACTGAAAAAGGGGCTCAAGTATGCTATATTCTAGATATTAAAAAATAATAAAACTAGTGGTTTCATGACAGACAGGGGAGACTATTTTAACATATGTGAGACAAAGGATTAATACCTAGTAAAATATGCCTAATTAAACATTGGTTACTATGTGGACCAAGATGTTTTCACTGTCAGTTCTCCGAAACATTTAAGGAAGATATAATACTAAGTTCACAGAAACTCAAATAAGAGAGGAGGAGGGAGCACTTTCCAACTCATTTATAAAGCCATATATATATACCTCCGATACTAGTATGTGACAAAGATTTTATAAAATATTAGCAAATGAAATCTAGAAATATGTAAAAAGGATAATACATGATTACTAAGCAGAGTTCATCTCAGAAATGCAGGATTGGATTTATATTTTAAAAGCTGTATGATTATTGTGATAAATGCAGAATAAGCACCTGACAAAATTTAGTAACCATTCAGAGTGAAAAACTGTTAGCAGGCCGGGAGTGATGGCTCATGCCTGTAATCCTAACACTCTGGGAGGCCAAGGCGGGTGGATCACCTGAGGTTAGGAGTTCGAGGCCAGCCTGGCCAACATAGTAAAACTCCATCTCTACTAAAATTACAAAAATTAGCTGGGTGTGGTAGCATGCACCTGTAGTCCCAGCTACTTGGGAGGCTGAGGCAGGAGAATTGCTTGAATCCAGGAAGCAGAGGTTGCAGTGAGCCAAGATCGCACCACTGCACTCCAGCCTAGTTGACAAAGCAAGACTGTCTCCAGAAAAAAAACAAAACAAAACAACAATAACAAAACTATTAACAACTATGTCCTCAATCTGTTAAAGAGTATCTGTGAAAAACCTACTACTAAAATCATGCTTCATGGTGAAATATGAAATACTCTTCCCAAAGATTGGGGGAAAAGCAAGAACACCCATGCTCTTCATTCTTATTAACATTGTACTAGAAATCCTAGCCAATGCAGTAAGGCAAGAAAAAGAAATAAAATGTTTGAAAATCAGAAAGGAAGAAGTAAAACTGTTTCTGTTTGTAGTTGACGGTGTTTGTTTATGCAGAAAAACCCAAGAAACCTAAAAAATAACTATTAGAACTAATTTATTTAGCAAGACATAAGGTCAGTATACAAAAATCATTATATTTTTATATACTTGCCATAAATGAAATTTTAAAAATTTCATTAAAAATAGCTTTAAAAAACCATAAAATACTTAGAAATAAATTTAACAAAAAATGTGTAAGACCAGTATCTTGAAGACCGTAAAACATTGCTGAGAGAAATTGAAGAAAACCTGAATAAAAGAATATCTACCATGCTCATGGACCGGATGACTCAGTGTGGTTAAGATATCAGTTCTCGGCCGGGCGCGGTGGCTCACACTTGTAATCCCAGCACTTTGGGAGGCTGAGGTGGGTGGATCACTTGAGGACAGGAGTTCAAGACCAGCCTGGCTAACATGGTGAAACCCCATCTCTACTAAAAGTACAAAAAAATTAGCCAGGCGTGGTGGCGGGCACATATACTCCCAGCTAGTCAGGAGGCTGAGGCAGGAGAATTGCTTGAACCCAGGAGGCGGAGGTTGCAGTGAGCCGAGATCATGCCATTGCAATCCAGCCTGGGCAACAAGAGTGAAACTCCATCTCAAAAAAAAAAAAGATATCAGTTCTCCCTGTATGCAGTTCCAATCATAATACCAAGCAGGCATTTTGTAGAAAATGCAAAGCTGATTACTAAAATTTATATGGAAACACAAAGGACCCTTATTTACAAAGAAATTGTAAATAAGAAGGGCAGAGTTTGCAGACTAACGTGAATTGCTTTGGATACTTACAATAAGACTACAGTAAACAAGACAGTATGTGTGGTGAGTTGAATAATGTCCCCCCAAATTAATGTTCACCTGGACTCTCAGGATGTGGCTTTATCTGGAAATACAGTCTTTGCAGATGTAACTAGTTAAGATGAGGCCACACTGGATTATGGTGTACCCTAAATCAATGACTGGTGTCCTTATGAGAGAAGGAAAGGACACAGAGACAAAGACACTGAGGGAAAACGCTTATATGATGATGGAGTTAGAGATTGGACTGATGTATCTGCATGCCAAGGAACCCCAAGGATTGCTAGAAGCCACCAGAAGCTAGGAAGAGACCAGGAAGAGCCTTAGAGCCTTCATAGGGAGCGTGATACTACCAACAACTGGTTTCAGATTTCTAGACTCCAGAACTGTGAGATAATACATTTTTGTTGTTTTAAGCTGCCTGGTTTGTGGTTCTTTGTCACAGCAGCTCAAGGAAATGAATACAATATGATACTGACATAACAATCAAATTGATCAGTGGAACGAAGTAGTAAACCCAGAAACAGACCCATGTTTATACAGTCATTTGGTTTTCAACAAAAGTGCCAAAGCAATACAACAAGGGAAAAGAAGTGTCTTTTCAACAAATGGTGTTGGCGAAACTGGATTTCCATGTGGGCTTAAAAAAAAAATTGCCCCTTCCCACATACTATACATAGAAAATAATTCTAAATTCTAACTGAAAAAGCAAAAACTATAAAGCTTCTAGAGGAAAACATCTTTGTAGCTTGGGAGTCGACAAAGATTTCCTAGGACCTACAGCTTTTATAGCTAATGGGAAACCTTAGCTATAAAAGAAAAAAACTTATAAATACTTGTGACGAAAAGACATTAGGAAAATAGGCAAGCTAAAGACAGGGATGCCAGGCGCATTGGCTCATGCCTGTTATCCCAGCACTTTGCGAGGCCAAGGCAGAGGGATCGCTGGAGTACAAGAGTTCAAGGCCAACCTGGGCAACATAGGGAGACCTTGTCTCTACAAAAAAAAAAAAAAAAAATTAATTAGCTGGGCATGGTGGCACATGCCTGTGGTCCCAGCTCCTTGGGAGGCTGAGGTGGAAGGATCTCTTGGAGGCCAGGTGTGGTGGCTCACACCTGTAATCTCAGCAGCTTGGGAGGCTGAGGTAGATGCATTGCTTGAGCCCAGGAGTTCAATACCAGTCTGGACAACATGGCAATGGTCTCTATTAAAAATCCAAAAATTAGGCCGGGCATGGTGGCTCACACTTGTAATCCCAGCACTTTGGGAGGCCAAGGTGGGTGGATCACGAGGTCAGGAGATCAAGACCATCCTGGCTAACACTGTGAAACCCCGTCTTTACTAAAAATACAAAAAAAAACATTAGCTGGGCGTGGTGGCGGGTGCCTGTAGTCACAGCTGCTCGGGAGCCTGAGGCAGGAGAATGGCGTGAACTTGGGAGGCGGAGCTTGCAGTGAGCCAAGATCGCGCCACTGCACCCCAGCCTGGGCAACACAGGGAGACTCCATCTCAAAAAAAAGGAAAAAAAAAAAAGTCAAAAATTAGCCAGGCATGTTGGCACACACCTATAGTCCCAGCTACTTGGGAGGCTGAGGGTGACAGGGTTGATGCCTGGGAGGTCAAGACTGCAGTGAGATGTGATTGCATCACGACACTCCAGCTTTGGCGACACAGTGAGACCCTGTCTCACATAAATAAATAGAAATAAATAAATTTTAAAAGACGGCGAAATATTTGCAAAATGTTTATCTGACAAGGGACATGTATCCAGAATATATAAAGAACTACAATTGAAAAATAAAAAGACAGCCAACCTCGCTAGAAAATGAGCAAGAGTTTGAAAGGATTTCACAAAGGAAGGTATACAAATTGCCAATAAGCACATTAAAAAATGCTTGATATTATTTGTCACTGGAGAAATGCCAGTTATAACTAGAATAAGATATTAGCCTGCAGGCACTAGAAAGACTAAAAGATCAAATGTAGGTAGCGATATGGAGCAGTTGCAACTCTCATACTTTGTTGTTGGGAGTTTAAAATGTACTACAATGTTGGAAAAGGGTCTGGCTGTTTTTTAGAAAAACTGAACATATACTTACCCTATTACCCATTAATTTCATTTCTTTCTCTACCTACCTATGAGATATGAAAATATATGCACACAAAAAGATTTGTAGAAGAATGTTTATAGCAGTTTTACTTATAATAGCCAAAACCTGGGGACAGCCCAGGTATCTATCAACAAGAGAATGAATAAACAAATTGTGGATGTATTCATACCATAAAATAATTTTTGTATTTTTAGTAGAGATAGGGTTTCACCATCTTGCCCAGGCTGGTCTTGAACTCCTGACCTCAAGTGATCCACTTGGCTTGGCCTCCTAAAGTGCTGGGATCACAGGGGTGAGCCACCGTGCCTGGCGTGAACTCTAGTTGCTGATCTGCAAACTGAAGTGATGGGGTGGAATGCTTGCAACTTACCTCAAAACGCATTAAAAAATGCATTGATATGTGGTCAGAAGAATGGACTGATGACAACATGACAAAAGCCAATATAAAATGTTAATCATAGAAACCAAATAGTATTTGGGTATTCAGTGTACAGTTATTTTAACTTCACCATATTTTTGAAATTTTTAAAAATGTTGGGAAAAATGGTTCTCAAAGGGGAATGATTACAAAAATTATTGTACTTCTCTACTTTGGAATACTGTGTAGCATTTGTCATTGTATAATACAGAAAGACTTTTTAGGCTTTCTCTTAAGGCAAAAACAAGTTGTAGAAAAATATAATATTTTAAAAATTAAGGTAACACAAAACTGTGTGTTTATATGCACACACACCTAAGTTCTCAGAAGAAGTTTGGGGAGGAAATATGCATCTGTTTATATCTGAGAAGAGGATATCTTGGCAGTGGGCTTGTGGGTAATATTTCTTTTCTTTTTGTTTACATTAATTTTCTTCAGTGAAAATACATGACATTTTAAAAAACATTTTGCCTTTAGTGATGTAAAAAATGCCTTTTTTGTCATATTTGGTGAGAAAAAATACGAAATTGAGCAACATAATTTCAACTGATAAATGCACCTATGTATGAGGAAAAAGAAACTTAGGTATAAATATTGGTTATGTTACTATTAGGAACATAGTTGATCCACCCACCTCAGCCTCCCAAAGTGCTGGGATTGCAGGTGTGAGCCACCACGCCCGGCCAGGAAATTTTTTTTTAAAGAAGCATTTCAGACATATACAAAAATAAAATGGGGTAATGAACCTCCCTGTTTCCATCACCCATCTTCAGTATTACAGGCTCATGCCTGTCATCCCAGCACTTTGGGAGGCTGAGGTAGGTGGATCACCTGAGGTTAGGAGTTTGAGACCAGCCTGGCCAACATGGTGCAACCCCATCTCTAAAAATACAAAAATTAGCTAGGTGTGGTGGTGTGTGCCTGTAGTCTCATCTACTCAGGAGGCTGAGGCAGGAGAATCGCTTGAATCTGGGAGGTGGAGGTTGCAGTGAGCTGAGATCATGCCACTGCACTCCAGCCTGGGTGACAGAGTGAGACGCTATCTCAAAAAAAAAAAAAAAAAAAAAAAATATATATATATATATATATATATATATATATATGGACCATAGGATTATGAGGATATTTCCTCTTTGCTATTTAGGTTTTGGAGTGGTGTACTTCTTATTGAAAAATTGTCTAAAATTTCACATCCTAGACGTTTCATATAGATTTTGATTTTTTTTATTAAAGAGGATTGTTAGTAACTTTTCACAATTTTATTAGTATCTAACTAGGTTTAGACCAATAGAGAAAATGGAGCAGCTTGTGCTATTTCTTGTATTCATTGATTTGTGATTGATTTTTTTTTATTTTTTTATTTTTTATTTATTTATTTTTGAGACAAAGTCTCACTCTGTCGCCCAGGCGGAAGTGCAGTGGCACGATCTCGGCTCACTGCAACCTCTGCCTCCCGGGTTCAGGCAATTCTCCTGCTTCCGCCTCCCGAGTAACTGGGACCACAGGCATGTGCCACCACGCCTGGCTAATTTTTTGTATTTTTAGTAAAGATAGGGTTTCACCATGTTAGCCAGGATGGTCTTGATCTCCTGACCTGGTGATTTGCCTGCCTTGGCCTCCCAAAGTGCTGGGATTACAGGCATGAGCCACCACGCCCGGCCTGATTACTTTTTTAAAGCTGTTTGCCCTAAACTGTTTGAAAAAGATCTATGGAAATATTTTCTTTTATTGAAATAACACTGGTCTTCTCATGTTGCAAGCTACAGATTTCACTTATTAATTCAAAGTTCAGTAGTCAATATTTAATACTTTCCATATGTCAGGTATAGTACTTAGTCATGTATAAATATGTCTTTCATAAATATTAGAGCACATTTAACAGATGTATGTAGTTAATCAGATATTCAAAGAAAGAAGAAATAAGTAAATATCTCTTTTCTATTTGGATGTTTGTAGATATTTAAATATTTATAATGTTTTGATGTTTGGCAGATTTAGTTCCTTTATTTTAGTAGCTTGTTTCTATTTGTGGAGAGAAGAAAAAAAAATAGCCTGTCCACAGTCACTATGATGTGGTTGCAGTTATTACTGCCCTCCTAGGTTAGGGCTGATGTGTTGGGGGTCACAGGGAGAGGATAGGGCTTTGTGCCATGAGATTCATGAGGTCAGTGACCACGTCTGTTAACTGTTTACTCTTCTGTCATCTTCTGGCACAATTCCTGACACATAATAGTTCCTCAGGTATTTGTTTATCAGCCAATCGAATGAATGAACAGATCTATAATCTAAGGAAAGGAGATAGGCAAAATAGCAGTATAATTTTGAAATTTATTGTATCAATCCTGACTGAAATATATGTATAATATATATTACATATATATACAGCCAATTTGTGGGACTAGAATAAAAAGTTGCTACACACACACGCGCACACGCACAGATCAAAACACTTGCTGTGTGTAATTATCTATGCAGACTATCCAGTAGAGGGCAGGGTTTTACTTGTGGGAGAATTTAATACAACTTTCTTTTTTTACCATCATGTAAATGCTTACCTCCCTTATAATCATCATTATCATCATAATAAGTAATACATGTTTATTTTTCTTTAATTGTTATGGAAGATTTGACCAATGGCTCTTGCTTTTCGTGAAGTTAAGAAATGACGTACATCTTAAATAACTTTTCCCTACTTGCATCCCAGTTTGCGTTGTACAGGTTATAAGGTCATGGTGATATTTTAGATTATGCATTCCATCTCAAACAGTAGTTTAGTCACTTATGTTCTTAAATGACATTTTTAGGTTCCCTTTTTGTGTTTCCAAAGCAGCATTAGACATAGGTCTGGAGTGTTGACAGTTGTGAAGAAGTACAGTGCAATAATGCTTCATCAGATAAATAAGCAACATTGTAAAGCTTGTCAGCAGAGCGCTGCAGTAGCCACTCATGTCAGTTTTAAAAGACAAAGATGGATACCCAAAGGAGACGTGTCAGCCTGTTAAGACACTTAAGGTTTAATATCTTTAGGTTTAACATGGTTGAATAGGCACTTCTCTCTGTCCTTCCCACTAATTACAGTGAAAAACAGGGGACCTTGTATGTAAAACAAACATAAGACTCTGAAAGGTAGAAGACCACTGACCAGCAGGGACTATGGGACCCTAGGAGAGTACATGGCACCAAAGTGGTATCAGTAAAGACCTAGTGGGGAGCTTGAACTCTCACCCCAACCCAGCACTATCAAGGTACCTCTCTCACTTTCCACTTTGGGTACTAAAGGCTGACTGGGGAACATGAATTTTTACCCTCAATTGCTGGTAATGAAGTAGCTATCCCATTCCCCTGCTGGCACAGTATCACAGAAAGCCTGCTCTGGCTGAAGATTTAAATAAGATCTAAAGATTTATAATACCCCAAATATCCAAATTTCAACAAAATGTCCCTCATGACCAGAAAAGAATCAGGAAAATCTCAACTGAAATGAAAAATGAACATCAATAGACACCAGGAGAATACAGATGTGAATTGTCTGACAATTATTTTAAAGTAGCCATCACAAGAAGGCTGAGCAATTATAAACATACTTGAAACAAATGAAAAAAACAGAAAGTCCCAGCAAAGAAAAAAAAAAAAACTATCCAGAGAAACCAAATGGAAATTTTAGAACTGAAAAATATAATAACTGAATTTTTAAAATGGAATAGACAGGTTTAATGGAGAATGGAGATGATAGAGGAAAGAATCAGTGAACTTGGAAGAAATTAAGAGAAATTACTCAGTCTGAACAGCAGTGAGAAAATAGATGAAAAAACAAAACCCAGAGTTTAGATATAACATTTGTGTCTTTGTGTGGACAGAAAGGGAGGGGAAAGAGGGTGGGACTGAAAAAATATTCAAAGAAATAATGGCTGAAAACTTCCAAAATTTGACAAAAGTCATAAATCTACAGATTCAAGAAGCTGACCAAAACTTAAGTAGGATAAACCCAAAGAAATTCATACCAAGACATACTATAATTACATTTCTTAAAACCAAAGGCAAAGAAAAAATCTTGAAAGCATCAAGAGAGAAATGACACAATGCCTATACAGAAAACAGTTTGAATGACAACGGATCTCTCAGCAGCAAACATGGAGACCAGAAAGAAGTGACACAAAATTTTGAGGACTAAGGAAAGAATTGTCAACCCAGAATTCCATATCTAATTAAGATGTTCTTCAGAAAGGAAGAGGAAACCACAATGTTCTCAGGTGAAGGAAAACAGAACTTGACATCAGTGAACCTAACATAAAGTAATGTCTAAAGAAATTTCCTGAAACAGAAAAGAAATTATAAAAAAAAGGAATCATGGAACATCAGGAAAGAAGAAAGAACAACAAAGAGTAAAAATATAGTAAATGTAATAGACTTTTTAAAAACTTTTTTGAGTGTTGTAAATTATGTTTGACTTTTTTCACTGTTTTCAAATATTGTAAAATAGTATAGTTATCAATGTATGTAGAGGAAATATTGAAGATTATAAATGGAGAAGGGTAAAGGAATTTAAAGGAAGGTAAAGTCTACACTTCACTGGAACTGGTGAAATGTTGACACCAGTAAATGTTGGTAAGTTATATGTAATGCAGTCCTTCAGCAGCTACTTTAAAAAAAAATCTATTCAAAGAGATGCAGTCAGAAACATTTTAGATAAACAAAAATGGAATTTTAAACTATGTTCAAGTAACCCATAAGGAGGAAGGGAAAAGAAAACAGATAAAAGAAAGAAAATGAAATAACAGATTTAAGTTTCAACATATCAAAGACTACATTAAACATAAATGACCTAAATTCATCTATTAAAAGACAGATGTGCAGAGTGAATTTTAAAAATGACACACTGTGCTGTTTACAGGAAGTGATTTCAGACAACAATATAGATAGGTTGAGACTAAAGATAGCTTTATTTATAATAGTACAAAACTGAAAACAACCAAAGTGCCTCTCAGTAGGTGAAATTGCTAAACAAACCATGGAATATTATATAATATTATATTCATACCATGGAATTCTACTTAGTAATGAGGAGGAGTGAACTATTGATACTTGCAATAACTTGAATGCCTTTTAAGGGCATTAAGCCATGTAAAAAAAGTCAATTTCAAAAGACTTGTATGTTTCCATGTAGGTAACATGGCAAAATTTTTCAGCTGAAAAACAAATTAGTGGGTGTTAGGAATAGCGAGAGGAAGGAAGCTGAGTGTGACTATAAATGGGTAGCATGAGATCTTTATTGTAGTGGAATGGTTCTGCATCTTGATTTTGGTGGCGATTACAGAAATGTACGTGTGATAAAATGGCATAGAATGATACACATTGTACTGGTATTCCTGGTTTTTAGTATGTTATAGTAATGTGAAATGTAACCATTGAGAGAAACTGGGTGAGAGGTATACTGTACTATAACGTCCTGTAAATCTATAATTATTTCAGAATACATAGTTTTAAAAAGCAAAAAGGCCTGTATAGTCCTAGCTGCTCAGGAGGCTGAGGCAGGAAGAGATTTTTTGAGCCCAGGAGTTCAAGGTTACAGTGAGCTATGGTCATGCCACAGCACTCCAGCCTGGGCAACAGAGCAAGACCCTGTTTCTATTAAAAAAAAAAAAAAAGATAAATTATAAACAGGAAGAGTTTGAATATTTTAAACAAATGCATTAATATATTTTATACATTTTCATACATTTCAGATATAGAGAAGCCAGTATCTTTAGTGCATACCTGTAAAATAGTAGAATGTCATCTATGAATATATGATTTTTTAAAAATTTAGTTTTTTTATTTTTAACAGAGTTAAAGAGGCAGATTATAAAGAGGCAGTCATTTGACTACTCTAAAGTCTTTTTAAAACAAGTCCCACTTTAGAAGATTAGGATTTAGCTCTTATTCTCACTTTCTCCACTACCATGAATGCAAACATCATTTCTACCTCCGCATTTTCTCACTATAGTTTTCATACTCATTTCAATTACATCAGTAGTTTTTTTTCAGTTGGATAGTATAAACACTATTCATATATGGGCTGTGATTGCTTTTCCTCTCTTAAGCAACTTTTTGTTTTCTCCAGAATTAATAATTGTCTTTTGTTTAATTTTCTGTATGCTTATGACTAATTGAATTTCCAACTCTCTGAATTACAAATATCCTTCTCTTCATTCTGAATGTGTTTACTCATTATCTTAATTTTAAAAGAGAAGTAAACATAGGTTGGGTTTTAGAGTTTTGGTGTAAAGAAAATTCTTAGTGTTAGAATTTACTGGCAAAATCAGGGCAAATATTCTTTGTTACTTTTTCTATTTACACACATACCCTGTCCAGCTGCAGATAAACAAATGGTTTTACCTTTATTTCAGTTTAGTTCCTGATTTTTGTCAAGAGTCTGTTTCTTCATCGATTCCAAACATTGGTCACATAGGGAAGTAGGAAGAGCTGTGGCATAGAGGCCAGAACACTTAGGTTCTTGTTCTGATTTGGTTTTAATTGACCTCAATGTAGGATGATCAGGTAACCTCCTTGGCCTCAGTTTTCTCTGTAATAGTGACAAGCTCAGACCAGATTATAACTGAGGCCTCTTCTAGTTAAAATGTGATTTCAAGTAGATAAAGTATTTACTTCAGTCCTGACTGTATATGTAGTATCTCTAAATTAAGAGTGTTGTCATTTCCAGTACTTTTAAAGAAATACCCTGATGTTTAGAAAGACATTAGATTAAAAGGTGTTATAGAGAGGGGAAATTTTATAAAAGACAAAAATGGACCATGCATGGCATCTTTGTTGTGCTTCAAATTTTTATATGGGAATTGTGGTTTTCACTTCCCAAGGGTGTCTGGAAAAGAGAAATTCTAAGACCATCAGAAACCTCATTGTTTATTACCCAACAGATTAGATTTGACCCATAGAGTATGCTCTGAAGTCATTAATGTGGCTTTTATGGAGATTTCTTCAATTGTAGACCATTGAAACTAGATGGGTCCTTGGGGGCTTCTCAGAAAGTCCTTGGTGTCTAGCAGTTTCTAGTTGATACAACCAAGGGCAGAATGTACTGTTTTCCATTTGCAAGTGTTTTTACTTTATTGTGAATGTTGTGTGAGGGATATTTGATATTTGGGATACTTACATTTTTTTTCAGAGGGCATTAAGGTGAATTGCCTTAATGCCAAATATACATTTGGAAATGAATTTGGAAGTTTATTTGTATACACCTGTTGATGCATTTGTACATGTGTTTGGTGATGCTGATAGGGTGCCACTTTATGGGGTTCCATGAAAAGCAGATATGTAATTTAATTTCATAACAAACATATTCATTAGTTATTATATTTACTGGTTATTGTTATTCACATAACTTATTTTATTGGTTTTCAGGTACTTGAAGAAGCAGAAGCTCAACATTTATATCAGTCCATCTTGCCTGATATGGTGAAAATTGCACTCTGTCTGCCAAATATTTGCACCCAGGTTAGTGGATGTAGCTTCCTCAGTAGCTTCCCTGAGACTGCCAATTGAATTTCCCTTAAACTCGAATGGCCAGGGTCACACAGAGAGAGAGAGAGAGACAGAGAGACAGAGAGAGAGAGAGAGAGAGAGAGAGGAAGAGAAGAGAAGAAATGGGAAACAGTTTTTGCCAAAGAGTATAGTAATTTTGCTGTATTAAGGAAAAGGTTAGAGGGTAGAGAGTACTACAAAAGGACATTAAAAATGCAGCATTCCATTCCTCAGCTTCTGTTTACACTGTTGAAGCTTGTTTACTTTGACTTTTTTCTCTCTTTGTTTAAATAACCTCTAACTTAAAAAAGTATTCATTATTTCAAAACATACTAGTGGATTTGGAATAGCGTATTTTCAAAATGGCTTAATACGACCCACTCCTTCCTCACCCTCCCCCAAATTCTACAACAAATGAGTTAATGATACTTTCTTAACTTTTTTTGAGACAGAGTCTTGCTCTGTCACCCAGGCTGGAGTGCAGTGGCATAATCTTGGCTCACTGCATCCTCCACCTCCTGGATTCAAGCAATTCTCCTGCCTCAGCCACCCAAGTAGCTGGGATTATAGGCATGTACCACCATACCCGGCTAAGTTTCTTTTTTTGGAGTGCGATGGCACAAATCCCAGCTCCCTGCAACCTCTGCCTCCTGGGTTCAAGCAATTCTTGTGCCTCAACTTCCCAAGTAGCTGGGATTACAGGCGTGCGCCACCACACCTGGCTACTTTTTGTACTTTTAGTAGAGACGAGTATTCAGCATGTTTGCCAGGCTCGTCTCAAACTCCTGACCTCAGATGATGCCTTGGCCTCCCAAAGTGCTGGGATTACAGGTGTGAGCCACTGTGCCAGCCTTAACTTTTAAAAATAAAGAATCCTGTATTTTATTTTGTTTGGAGTACGTTAATTATATATTGCTACATAACAAATTATGTCAAAATTAATGGCTTAAAACAATAAACATGTATTATCTCACAGCTTCTGTTGACTTTGGGAGCAGATTAGCTGACTGAGTGGTTGTGGATCAGGATTTCTCTCGTGGTTGCGGTGAGGATGTCAGCCAGGGTTTCAGTCATCTGAAGGCTTGCCTGGGGCTGAAGGACACACCTCTAAGTTGGCTTACTTACAGAGCTGTTGGCAGAACGCCCTGACATGGGCCTCTCTATAGGCTGATTGATTGTCCTTATGACATAATAGCTAACTTCCCCAGAGCAAGCAATCCAAGGGAGAGAGCAAGGAAGCTGCAGTGTCTTCTATGACCTATTTTTCTCAAGGTACCTAGCATCACTTCTGCTGTTTTTCTGTTCATTGGAAGCTAGCCAGTACCCAGGGGGAGGGGTATTAGACCACCTGTTTTTTTTTTTTTTTTTCTTTTTGAGACTGAATTTCATCCTTGTCCCCCAGGCTGGAATGCAGTGGCATGATCTTGGCTCACTGCAACCTCTGCCTCCTGGGTTCAAGTGATTTTCCTGCCTCAGCTTCCTGAGTAGCCGGGACTACAGGCGTGTGCCACTACACTCGGCTAATTTTTTTGTATTTTTAGCAGAGACGGAGTTTCACCATTTTGGCCAGGCTGGTCTCGAACTCCTGACCTCATGTGATCCGCCCGCCTTTGCCTCCCATGGTGCTGAAATTACAGGCATGAGCCACCGTGCCCAAGACTCCACCTCTTAAAGAGAGGAGCATCAAAGAATTTGTGAACGTATTTTCAAACCTCCACAGGGTTTGTTTTGTTCATAATTTTATTCCTGTGTTTCTCACAACCGTGCTTGAATTTGCCTTTGTCTTTTATTTCTAGGGCCAACGCCTCTTGCTGCATGGCTGCTAGCCAGGGTTCTGCTAGCATTTTACTCCACAGGGGCCCTATGGACATTTGGGTGGAACAATTTCTGAATGTGTATAATGGTCCCATGCATTGCAGTATGTCATTAGGACACCCCAAAAACCACAAATAGGGTCACTGGGGCAACCAGAAAACAACGCATACATGTCCAAATGCCTTCTTGGACTATGCCACCTTCAGTTGAGACCCATGAAATGTTTTCCAGTGTGATGTTTTCAATTTTATGTAACTTTAATTTTACCTCAGTAATGCATTGTGCCTGAAATAAGTTTTACTATTGGGCAGGGGAAATATATTTTAAAACATATCTTCTTGTTTCTGTTGGAAGTTATTTGCTTGATCATATTCCATGTTTGTTCTTTTTCCTTTCTCTCCTTACTTAGTAAATTCTCTCCCTACCTCCTAGGTATGCCTGTCTGTTACTTCCCCTGTGAAGCCTTCCCTGCCTCCCAGGCAAGGTTCATCCCTCTTGAAGCACTCAAATCATTGTTTTGTAATTCTTGTCATTATATATCTCTTGCCACTGGATTATAGTCTCCTTAAAGGGAGATCCTCTTTGTGTCCCTGGTTTGCATGGTGCTTAATTATATGCTTTTTGAATTCAATATGTAGTTCATAATCAATAATAGGTAGTAGGTAGCCTTTGGGTGTGGGCCATTTAATCCTCTTCCCCTCGTGCATATGAGAGTTTCCATATTTTATTTAATGAGAAATTTTTGTTCAAAGGTATCTAACTTTGTAAGCTATAACAAGTCCCTTGGAACCAAAATCAGACCCCTGAGTCCTCAGCTTTTTGTCCTGGCTTCTCCCAGTGACTTTCTTCTCCATTAGCATATCAACGGGGAGAGCATGGAAATTCTGTGCTTTGCCCCCTATTGAAAAGTCAATCTCTGCTGTGAAAGTTAAGATTTTTATTTGAGATCAAAATACGTCTTGTGGCAAGTTAAATTGTATATGTTGGTGTTTAATAATTTATCACATTGAAGTACTCTAGGCCAAATCTAAAGGGTAAATTTTAGATTTATCAAAATAAAATTAAAGGAAACAAATTTGGTCAGGAACTTTTTGAAATATCTTGGTTCACAGTAACCAGCCTCTTATTTTGTTGAGCCGATTGCTTGACAGTAAGATTTACATCTCCTGATTTCTCCAAATAATGAGTTTTTAGGCATTTCTCCTCACCAAGAGAGGAGAAATCATTAACTCTATTTAAAATTATACTATTTGTTTATTTGGGAGACAGGAAATGTTTGTGTTTGAAGTCCATTAATCCTGAAATCTTTACTATTAATTTTTAAAATCATTTTTCTGAATAACTTGGTAAATGGTAGTTAAAAACTCATTTCTTCCTAAAACCAAGCAGCACTTTGCTTGAAGCCATTGATGCACTGTCACCTTTTCTAAACTCGTTGCTTGGTTGTGAACAAATGCACGGGATGGAAAATGGAGATCAATATGAGCTCTCTATTTTTCTCAGAAATGGTGATTGCTAAGACCTGAAGGGGAGAGAATTTTGTATAACATAGTGAAAATATTCTTTACCTTTTGCTTATTTGTTTACCTTTGAATTTTTCCAAGAGAAATAGTTGAATTGCAAGTTTAATCTGTTCTTTTTTCTGGCAAACTCTTATTCTAGCAGTGGTGTGTACTTCTGTACTTAGAAAAGCATTCATTATTCAGCACCGCAGTTTTGGTTTGTCTTGCCTGCCCTTTCCTCAGGTTCATTCTGGGTGTCCACTCCTGAGGTATGATCAGGACAGTTTGCTCTAGGCATGCCATTTTGAGATGAGTGCAGTTACCTGAAACTCTTAGTTCTGGGTCTTACTGAAGGGGAGAATGAAATGCATCTCTAAATATTCTGTGGGAGCATTTTGAAACTTAACAGCTGAAGGATAAACTGGTAGTTGGTCTTTGATTTTATCAGCATGTCTTTAAAAACATAGTTTAATATTTAAAATATGTTGACAAAAAGAGTCAAACTCTGTAAAATATTTGAAGAGATTTATTTTGAGCCAAATGGGAGTAACCAGTGGCCTGTAACACAGCCCCAGGAGATCTGAGAACATGTGCCCAAGATGGTCAGGCTTGGCTTTATACATTTTAGGGAGACATAAGACATCAATCAATACATGTAAAGGGGGCTTACAGGTCTTAGGTAGATTCAAAGATTTTCTGATTGGCAATTGGTTGGAACAGTTATTATCCAAAGACCTGGAATCAACAGAAAGGAATATCTGGGTTAAGATAAGGGTTTGTGGAGACCAAGGTTTTATGATGTGGATGAAACCTTGTAGCTTCAGAGCTTTTATCAGATCTAAAAAGGTACCACGCCCTTTCTTAATTCTCACCTGGAAAGGAATAGGGATTCTTTACAGAATGTACATTTTCCCAACAGACAGCTTTGCAGGGCTATTTCAAAATATGTCAAAGAAATATATTTTGGGGTAAAATACTTCAATTCTTTCAAGGTCTGCTATCTGTCATGTGATGCTATACTCGAGTCAGGCTGGAATTGAGTCTTATTATTATAAAAAGATTTGTTTCATCAGTTTTAAGGTCTCTGTTTTCTTGTTAATGCTGGTCACTTGTGCTGAATTCTAAAGTGAGGAGCATATAATGAGGCGTGTCAGACCCACACTTCCTATCATGGTGTGGACTAGTGTTTCAGGTTAACTTTGGAATCCCCTTGGTCGAGAGGAGGGGTTCATTCAGTTGGTTGGGGGTCTTGGAACTTTATTTTTGGTTTACAAACAGAATAAAACCCACTGAACACAATACTCAGGTCGTGTGGATTATACTGACAATAAAAGGTAAGTGAATTTGGTGGCATAACTAGAAGACATTTTAGACATAAAAGATTTGAAGGAAAAATGTCTTACATCTTCCTTGACTTGGAATGTTTGGTTATGTAAGAAATGTCTTATCTTTTTACAACTTATGCATGTCCGTATGGTGGTTTTTACATGTTCTATTAATAGCTTTAATGAAGTTAGATTTGATTCTTATAAAGAAATTGTGAGTATGAAGTGTAATTTGGAATAAGAGGGTCAAGACTTATTTGTTGAATTATCTTAGATCATTTTATTGAGGACTAAGAAAGATTATTCTGGCCAATAATTTTTAATATAAATAAGAACAAAATTTAGCTTAAACAATGTTATATATTTTTGTTTCATCTTTTGTTTTAATTTTTCATTACATGGGCAATGTGTTTTTATTTACTTGCTGAAGCAATCTTGTTTTTCACTAATAAGTAATGTTTTATATTCTCTTCACTATCATTATTATTGATTAGAAATCTGCAGTTTGTCAAATAAGTGCATTTTCTGAATCATCCCTGATAAACAGCCCTTGACTTTTACAATATTGCTGATTTAAGGATTCAAGAATGGCCTGAAATTATTTCTGCCTTAATTTAGCAAATGCAATTTGGTGCCTCTGCTTTTGAAATTGCTAAACTAATTATTGCTCTTCTCGTCTGTATTTTTTTGTTTCTTTTATCAGCCAATACCACTCCTGAAACAGAAGATGAATCATTCCATCACAATGTCGCAGGAACAGATTGCCAGTCTTTTAGCTAATGCTTTCTTCTGCACATTTCCACGACGAAATGCTAAGATGAAATCGGAGTATTCTAGTTACCCAGACATTAACTTCAATCGGTATGTTTTCAGAAAACACCTCTTTAACAATGAAAAAGACAAAGGTGGAAGGAACTAATAATATTTTTTGAATGAATTCCATAGGCCAAGCATTTTATATGCAGTTGTCTTATTTAATTTTTACAGTACTTAAGTGACATTTTCACCATTTTGCAGGCAAGGTGATTAAAGTTCATTGAGGTTAAAAGAACTTGATTAGGATCCAGGAGCTAGTAAGTCACAGAACTGAGATTTTATTTCAGGCCTGTCTTACTCCAGGGCCCATGTTCTTTCTGTCCTCTCAGATGATTCCCCAGTTCTCTGGACTCCACATGCCTCTTCAGTTTGATTATTCACGAGAACTTTTGTTGTGCTTATATTCCTTAATGCTGAAATACTGTGAAAGGTAGAGGAAAAGTCCTCCTTTCTACAAAGGTCTTATAAAATGAGAGTCTAAAGTCATGAGCTGTCTTATGAGACTTGAAAAATGTAATTGTTTTGATGAAAAGTGAAAGGTGATTTTGACCCTTTATAGACATGGTTAATTTATCAGTGTAATATTTTTAAAAGAAAAACAAAAGAATGTTCAAACTGCTCGACTAAATTAATACAGTGTGAAGGTATTGATAAAGTTCTAGATTCCAGCCATTTTCCCAGGTGACTGCTTTCTCTATCTTCTACACAAACAAAAATATTTTAAAGAATCTTCTTGGCAAACTAATGTTTTTTCTTCCCTCCTACTCACTACTCCCATATCCCCACCTCTGTTTCTTTCTTCACTTGAGAATTATCTTTATAGGACCCATGAATAGAATATATGAGTTTTCTTCCCTGATTTCAGTGTGAGACTTGAGAAAATTGCTATAATCTGTGCCCCTTTCCCAGCAGGCTGTGTGTAATGCCCTTCACTGCCTCTGGTCACCCAGAGCCTGCCTCTGAGGGTGGGGCAGTATGCAGAGTAGGAGATAAAGTCATAGAGCGGATACACAAACAAAACCCACTTTTGTTTGCCATACTGCTTTTGTCTCCAAAGTAGAATGATCAGTAACACCACTTTTTTTTTTTTTTTTAATTTTAAGACGGAGCTTCACTCTGTTGCCCAGGCTGGAGTGCAGTGGTGCAATCTTGGCCAACTGAAACCTCCACCTCCCGGGTTCAAGCGATTCTCCTTTCTCAGCCTCCTGAGTAGCTGGGCTTACAGGTGCATGCCACCACGCCTGGCTAATTTTTGTATTTTTAGTAGAGACGGGGTTTCACCATGTTGGCCAGGCTGGTGTCGAACTCCTGACCCCAGGTGATCTGCCTGCTTCTATCTCCCAAAGTGCTGGGATTACAGGTGTGAGCCACTGCACCCAGTCTGATTCTACCAGTTTTTCTAGTATCCTTTTTCTGTTCCAGGATCCTACCCAGCATCCCAGTTACATTTAATTACCTAGTCTCCTCCAACATGTTCCTTGTTTTTTCTTTTCTTTCGTGATCTTGACAGTTTTGAAGAGTACTCATCACAGTTATTTTGGAGAATATTCTCAGTCTGGGTTTGGCTGATGTTTTTTCAGGATTGGAATGAGGTCATGCATTTTTGGGAGAATACCACAGAAATGATCCTGTGTCCTTCTCAGTGCACCGTATCAGGGGGATCATGATACTTCTTATTACTGGTGATCAGTTGGCGAAGGTAGTGTCTGCTGACTTTTTCCACTGTAAAGTTACCATATTTCCTTTTGTGATTAATAAATATTTTCCAAAAGATAAAACACTATGCAAATGTTGTTTTGCCTCACATTTATCCCTACTAATTTTGGCATCCATTGGTGCATCTTGTCTGCAATGATTATTACCATAGTGTTTGCCTGTTGTGAATTTTCTGCTTCCCTCTTCTACATTTGCTAATTGAAATTCCATTGTAAGGAAGAGCTATCCCTTTTCCCCCGTTTTTAAAATATCAGAATGGACTCATGGATATTTATTTTGTTGTGTCAGTTTAAATTAAACAGTATTATTTATTTTACTGCTTTAATTATTCTAGCTTTGGCCATTAGGGCTCCTTTAGGTTGACTCCTATGTTCTTTTGATAAGCCCTATCCTTTTTTTGAGCATTAACTTTCATTCTGGAATCATACATTGTTCCAGATTCATCTTACATTTTCCATGCCTCAATCCTGGAATGAACCATTTTCTCAAGGATTCCTGGTCTCTTTTATTGTACAACGGTATTTAGAGACCAACATCTAGGTGATAGGTGTGCTCATTGCTGCTAGAGTGTCATTGTTTCTAATGCAACTTACTTTATGTGGGCAGCATTTCTTATAACTCCACATGGCAGCAGAGAAATGAATTCACAATTCTCTCCAATATCAGAGTGTCAGCCCCGAAGACCATATTTTTTAGCCTTTTAAAATTGGAGAATGTTTTACTCTCTTAAGATGAGAAGAATTCTAGAATTCAGCTGGTTAGTTCCTAATGTAAATTTTAATTAAACTTAAAAACTAGACATTTCAGTGCATTTATTGTGTGTTTAGCAGATGAAAGTATAGCAGATGACTTGAATATAAGCTGCTCTTAGACTGTCATAATTCTTGGGTTATATTTTTATGACCTTCAAACATTAAAATATTGATGATAATTTGTTATTATATATGGTTACCCTCTACTATCAACACTAAGAAAGGGGCAGCAAAGAATGAAAAATAATGTTATCTAAGAAAATTTCTTTAAAATCCTAGTGTTAGCAAACAGGATAGTTTTTTTTTTTTATATATAATATGCTCCTTGGTTACATAAATATTAGTTGCAAGGGGCATATTTTTAATCTATTTTTCAAGTTTGTACAGTAGGTAAGTTTGTTTTTAGATACTGGTATTTAGTCAATGTTTAGTTCAAATGTACAATGAGCAACTGCAATATTCCCCACAGTGTATTAAGTGCCATAAGGTTACAGAGAAAGGAGAAGCCAGTTTCTGAGTTCTTACTGTTATGTAGTATTGTCTCATTTTCAAACCTCACGTCACAGATGCCCTTCTCTTTTCCACATGGCTTTTATTCCTCCTCCAGTACTCAGTTCACGTATCAGTTTTTCTGGTGTCTCAGATTCTGCTAGGATAGGTTTGCTACTCTAGGTTCCTATGCTAGCCTGTGTGTACCTCTGGAGAGGTGCACAGCACCATGACGTTTTATTAAAGAAAGATATAATTTAATAAAGGAAACTTTCCTCAAGGAAATAACTTTTCTTGCTGTTGTTGTTTTGAGACTGGGTCTCATTATGTTGCCCAGGCTGGTCTCAAATTCCTGGGCTCAAGAGATCCTCCCACCTCAGTCTCTAAAGTAACTAGGACTACAGGTACATGTCACCATGCCCAGCGCAACTTTTGAATTAAGTACAAAAGGGTGAATAAGAGTTTTGCCAAGGAGAAGGAGAGGTGGTTGTATTCTAGGCAGGGGAAAAGTATGTGTAAAGTCACTGTTGCAAGAAGGACCTGACATGTCCAGAGACTGAGAGAAGACAGTGTGGTTGCAGCACAGAGAGTGAGAAGGAGCATGGAGATGGTAGAGGCTACAGAAGTAGCTGGAGGCTGGACCATGCTGTGCCTCACTAGGCCATCTGAAAACAACAGGAAGTCATTGGAGGATTAGATATGTGGGTAGAGGGAGACTAGCACATGTGTTCAGATTTACATTTTCAAAAGTTTATTTTGGCTGTAATGTGGGAATCAAGCAGAGAGGGGCCAGAGTACATGAGTTTACCCAATTGGAGAGGCTACTGCAATGCACCGGGAAAGAGGATGTTAGCTGGGATAGTGTAGGGGAGGGGACAGAGGTGTGGAGACATTTGAAGGGGTAGCCAGAGTGATGGTGATGGACAGGATTGGTAGATGGGCAGAGAGAGGCATCCAAGGTACTCCTTAGGTTTGTACAGCCAGATGTGTGCCTTTACTGTCCCCTACTTTTCCTACTGTACTACCTAGACTACTTCATAATTGCTTATTTAATCATTTCAGTGGGACAGGGATCTTAACTGTCTTTGTTATTTTCACAAAGTCTCATGCATTGTAGGCCTTCAATAAATGCTTCTTGAATGAATGAAAAGAAATTTTACAGATGAAATATTTGAGAATTAAGTGACTTGTTTTGAGTAATGGAGCTGGTTAGTGGCAGAGTGCTAAGACTATAATTTAGACCCTTTGTTCTCAGTCTCTTGTCTTTTACTTTTCATATTATGTCTTAGTCTTAGGAATTACGAGATGTTTTATTTTTAAGCCACATATAATCAAACATAGCTTTTACTTCTGATTTCGTTAGTAATTGGGGTAGAATTGAGAGAAAACACAGAGCATTGGAATCTGCAATTGCAGTTATATAAAAAACCTGTTTCACAGGCGTGAGCCACTGCGCCCAGCCCATATATTACTTTTACGTGCAGAAGAAAAAATAGTTCAGGGAAGAACAAGTCAGTTGTCAGAAATCAAGCTGAACACAAAGTTAATAAGAGTGGACAATTTTTGTAATTTGATTTTGAGGGTGGAATTTCACAGATTTTTTGAGGCTTTTCCAAAAAAGCTAGTGTGGATAGCTTCTTTCCAATTACTCCTCCATAGACACATTGTCATTGTGTCTACTTCACCCTATTTTACTTATTCAGCATATAGCATTTTATTTCTTATGGAAGAAATAGAATCCACAGAGTTCTGTAGGGAGCAAAGACCCATCGCTGCTGGATGGCTGACAGGCAGAGGTCAAGATGTCTTGGGAAGGCTTGGCTTTGGTGACTTCCAATTTCCTGTAACCAATTACCAGAATTTACATTCATATATATATCTTTTTTGTTTTTGTTTTTGTTTTTTTTGGGACAGAGTCTCGCTCTGTCGACCAGGCTGGAGTGCAGTGGCGCCATCTCGGCTCACTGCAAGCTCCACCTCCCGGGTTCACACCAATCTCCTGCCTCAGCCTCCCTAGTAGCTGGGACTACAGGCACCCACCACCACGCCCGGCTAATTTTTTGTGTTTTTATTAGAGACAGGATTTCACTGTGTTAGCCAGGATGGCCTCAGTCTCCTGAACTCGTGATCCACCAGCCTTGGCCTCCCAAAGTGCTGGGATTACAGGCATCAGCCACCGCACCCGGCCAATTTTATTATATATTTTAATTTTAAAAGACCTTTGTTTTTCAGCCAACCTTCTGAGTGGGGAAGTCTGGGGCTTCTTGGCGATGGCAGGTTTATCTTTTTCATTGTACATGGTCATTTATCCTGAAGACTGAGCTGGTTAGCGCTGAAAGTCAGCATGTTGGGCTTGATGGGAATCAAGGCTGGGCCATTTTTTTAAATGAAGGGAATATTAATTAGAACCATGCAACTGCTTTATGTAAATGAATGTTGATTTTTTTTGCCTGGGCATTATGTAATGCCTTATTTTAGCGCAAGTACCTTAGCTTACTCAGCATTATCTGAAATTCATTTACTTGTCACATTAACCATATGAATTAGAATATTGATTAGGAATTGTTGTTACACTCATTTTTAAAATGAGGTGGAAGTTTAGAGAGGGGAGGTTACTTCACCAAGTTAACACAGTAACTAGTAGACTTGAGATTCAAACGCAGGATGTAGTCTCCTTTGAGAAGCTGTGTCCCTTAACCATTCTGCTACACAGTCTCCCTTTGAATGAACTGAATTAATAATTCTTACCTCATGACTAGTCAAAAATTAGAACTATTTTTAGAAATAATTATTGATCTATTAAATGAATTAAAGCCATTTGTAAGTCCAGAGTGACCGTGACGGATTTAAGCTTGCAGCAAATAGCATTCTCACCAAATAAGAGTTTAAGTAGTTCCGTTGAAGATTTGAAATCAGGCGTATTCTTGTCTTCCTAGGTGATGGATGTTCTTTTGGATAGCAGAACATGAAAAATGAATTAAGGCAGGTAACCTAGTGTTAGTCTCCACAATGTTGTAGAGAATCCTAAGCAGCCAGGATGTCTGCACTTGCCTTTCACTGTGAGATGGTGTGTGTTTTAATGAGCCTAAGCTAGCAAATAATAGGAACAACAACTGTACATCACCATTGATACTGTCTTTTGATGGCTTGCTTTGATTCTGTCTATGGAATTTTCTAGGTAGGGAAGCCTCTCTACTGATAAGGTTCAGGGAGAATAAATGAATTGTTAGCACAACTGGAACTTGATCACTGTCTTCTACTCAAACTCAGTTTTCTTTTATTGTATCTCAAAGCCTGTCATGAGCAAAATGCTCTGAGTGCTCCGGAAATGCCAAACAACTGAAAGTCCCCCCACTTTTATGTGGCTTCTGAAAGATCCAGTACGTAATCTGATGAGCCATTTGTTAAGCTGATTATGTAGCATTTTATTGTGTTATTTCCTTTTATGCATAGTTTCTACTTATGATTATAGTTTCTAGCAGTGGGGAGTTGTGTGTGTGAGAGTGTATTTAATCTCAAAAGAGAGGTATGGCTAGCTAGTTGAATAAGAAAAATGGTAAGAGTATGTGGTGGGAGGCTGAAGTCAATAAATTGAATATGTCTTCCCTTTTTTATTTATTGCTGTGTTCTTTAAGCCCTGCTTAGTTATGGTAAATACCCCTGACCTTTTTCCCTGCTTGCCTTTCAGGTCCTAAACATTCATATAAAGGCTTCCAATGTGATTAGCATCGATGCTTCTGAGTTTGCATGGAAACTAGATGGTCAGAGATAAATTGTGGGTCTCAGCAGTGGTCAGCCCAGGAGGTTTTTACATCTGCCTCTTCCCTGTATTGAAAATGCTGCTGGGGCCATATGGCAGAGTGCCTCACAGAAGAGCCAGGAATGACTTTCTGGCTGGGTTCCGGACTATCACTTGCTCGTATTTTAAAATGGAGGTTGTAGTGCTTTGGGTTTGATTTACTGTATACTAATGGGATTATTACTTAACTTGAAATGGCATAGTGGGTCATGGTGGGGGTGGGGATGGATATACCTAGAATAAAATTCCAGTAATGTTATCAGTATTCCATTCAGGGAAAGATTTTATTCAACTCTGTTTCTCCTTATAAGTATGCAAAGAAAAACACCAGCTAATAAGTGTCTGACCTTTGACTGATGTCTGTCTTTGAAAATACCAACAGTTTTGTTTAGAACAAAGTAAGATTTCCTGACTGGCTTTTTGTGTTTGATTTCTTTAATAATCTGTAATTATCTTTCAATTAAATGCCCAAATGTCCTCCCTACATGTAGAGGAGTTATTGTGGCCTGGTTTGTGTGCACACTGCTGACTTAAAATATGCCTTCAAATATACATACCCAGGACTTGAAAAATCTAAATTAAAAAAGAAAGGTGTTGGGAAGTTTACAAAAAAAGTGGGGGCGGGGGAATGATGCTTAATGATTATGAGAAGGCCTCACTTTCTCTGAGCCTGTTTGTGTATGTCTTTCTCTCTGTGTGTCTGTCTCTCATGCTCTCTTTCTCTAACCCCATTTCTATCAGCCTTTCTCTTCTCTCTATCTTCCCTGCCCCATCTTTCTTCTCCCCCTTCACCCGTTTCTTGGGCTCCAGCCTCAGTCCTTTTGTTTTCCTCCTCATTCCCAAAAGCTGTCCCTCAGATTGTATATCACTCCTGGGATGACTTTCATTCATGCTGTTTGCCTGTCTATTTATGTTATTTTTACTTGCTTCCATATCAGGATAATTCATTTTATTTGAGTGGCTGTGCATACAACTTTAAAATTTCACAACAGCCAAGTCTGAGAATTGTCACAAGGATTTTAAACCTGCTTCATCTCCTCTGACTTTATCTCCACTTCTTACCCCCGACACCCACCACGACACTTCCCCCACTTCCCCCTGCTCTATCAGGAAGATGGGAAAGTGTATTTGGTTACACAGTGATTTGAAGTTAGGATTGGAGCAGTGAATAAACAGAGTACATTGAGATTCTGCTTGATTTGTACCTTTAAGATTTGTACCTACAAAATAAACAGTGGTGTTCATTTGTAGTGGGTGATAATAACAGCCATAAAATCTTCCAGGAAAGTCTGTCTCGCCAGGATAATAAATCTGCAGTCTCACGAGGCTCCTAAAGTTAATAATTTGTCATCATGGTTGTGAAGTATGTGACCTTTTATGTGATTTTATACAGATGACCGCATATGGAAGCTAGGGACACTTTTCCTATGTTTTAGAGAATTATTTCTTAAGAGCAACAGCCATTTTCTCCTCACTATGCAATAGTTCTATTGAAGAAGAACTTTTATCCTTTAATTGAATTGTATAGTACATCAATTCATCTCTAGGAAAAGGTGGTGGCTACTTTTGTATTCATATTGCTTTCCTCTAGTGCATAGTGAGCCTAGAAAGAGATTTTGCAGTGGAGCCTTAGGTATTCATTTAGTAAATCATATTTATTGATATAGGATGTTTAATTAAACTGCCATGTGGCTTCTTCATTTTGACTTAAATAAACTCTGTTCTAGAAGAAGCCATGCTGAAACCTGCACCCTCAAAGAGCCTTTCTTTCAGCTGGCAACTGGATTATAAGAGTATGTGTATTAAATATTTTAGAAAGATAGGTTCTTTAAATAAAAATTATCACACAGGCTGTCTTAAACTATTTTTAAAAAGAGATCTGATTTTAGATTTGGTTAAAATACTAGCATACATTAGTATTCTTTTTAGGAAATAAATATTCATATAAATTGTTTTTCCAGAAATTGACCCTGAATACAGATTTCAGATCATTGAAAACGGAACCATTTGAAATGTGCATTTCCTTTCCTTTTCCTAATTTATTTCAGTCGCTCAATAGGATTTTCTCATGGAATTAACTTTTCCCTCTCAGCGTAGTTACATAAGCTTGCTGTTGTAATCATGAAAAATAATTACCCATTTCAGCACTTATTAACATGGACTTTACTTGAAGGGTCTCTGGTTTTAAAGTCAGAGCACATGACTAGAGGCAGATGAAGAGTACCTCATCATTCATAGCCACTGAGTCTCTATAATTTTTAAATGCCTTTGGAAAGCTAGATCTTATGCTCAAAAGCATGCTTTTGTGTTAGAAATCTTTTAGTGAGCTACTTACTCAGGTCATAATGCTTTTAAAGCCCTGCTTTTCTTTCCTCAGAATAAACTGAATTGTATGTTACCAATAACAATGCCACATCATTTCAAAGAAAACGGAATTAAGTAATCCAAGTCCGGGTTGCTGAAAACTAGATGACACAGGGTAGGCACTGTTGTGGTTACCATGCAAAGGATCTCTATTAGTCAGCTTGGGCTGCCATAATAAAATACCATAGAACTGGGTGGCTTAAACAACAGAAATTTATTTTCTCATGGTTCTGGAGGCTAGAAGCTGCAGATCAGGGTGCTGCTGCTTTGGTTCCTGATGAGGGCTTTCTTCCTGGCTTATAGGTTGGCTGGCATCTTGTCCTCACATGGCAGAGGGAGAGTACTGTAGTCTCACCTTGCTTTTTAAAATGACACCAGTTCTATCAGATTAGAGTCCCACCCCTATGACCTCATTTAACTGTTACTACCTGCTCACAGGCCCTATCTCCAAATTTAGCTATATTAGGGATTAAGGATTCAACATATAAATTTTGAGAGGTCACAAACATTCAGTCCATAAAAGAATCTAGTTGTTTAATTAACAAGGATTGTTGAGCCCTGATATCTTGTTATACCTGCCTGTGTCCCTGCCCCCATTCCCCTCCACTCTCATTTCCTCACAAACACTCAGATAAGGATTTTTTTTGATACCGTTTTTGTTACTTATCAAACTACGTAGTAACATTATGAATTATAAATGTTTTTAGCCATTGAGAAAGTAGCTGTGCACTGACTGACTGACCCCAGTTGACTGGGAGGGCTGGATGGTGCCTTCTCTGTGGTGGAAGATAGGTTGGAGAAATGTGGTTGGTAGTAAATGATGTCTGATTTGAGCAGCTTTGAAGAAGTCTGGTTCTAGTTGGTTTCAGTTCTTTCCAGATGCCATTTGAATCTAAACCAATTTTCCAGTTCTTATCATTACAGAATTGTCTTCTGGAAGAATTATTTCTTTGTATTACTTGGTAGCAATATGGATGTAGTTTTGTGAATCATTAAGGCATTTTAACTTATCTTCCATTCTCTTTTATTTTTTATCTCTTAGATTGTTTGAGGGACGTTCATCAAGGAAACCGGAGAAACTTAAAACGCTCTTCTGCTACTTTAGAAGAGTCACAGAGAAAAGTAAATTCCTTTCATTCTTACTGTAATTTTTCTTGCTGATGGGAACAGTTCAAGTCAAGTGACATGTGAGGAACATTTTGTGTTTAACGTAAACCTTCCTGTCCCAACCACATTGAAACACTAGTAATGATGCGACAATATAACCTAGTTTTATGCTTATGTTGTGTATAAGCATAAACGTGTGCTAAATGTAGGGGGGCGGGGTTTACATACTCTGAAATCGGACCCATATTCTCTGAAATCTGTAATATACATCAAAAGATTTTCATGAATAAAAACCAGAGAAAGTATATTGACCAGGAAATAAATTTTGGATGCTCTTTATTTAAAGAAGTATTCACTAGTTTATTTGCATAAGTCAACTAACGCATTGCTTTTCTACCCATTCCTCTCTTTTGTGCCCCCCTAAGCCCTTTGTGGAGTTCTTATAAAACTGTTTTGTACTGAGTTTTATATCTCCATCTTCCTCTATTGAACCTTAACATTCTTGCTTCCCCAAAAACTGATAGCAGCTAAGACAGTAATAGTAAATGTCCAACAAATACTGGTAATGACCAGCTGATAATAGATTGGTATTGCCACTCTTATCTCAGAAGCTGAATGACCATGGTCAAGTTTCTTGACACCTCTAAGCTTCAGTTTTATCACCTATGAAATAATATAATAACGGCCATTACCTTACAGGGTAGTTATAGATATTAAACAAGAAGATACATGCTTAATAAATGTAAGCTATTATCAATGGGTAGCCTTTCCTACAAGTGGATGTAAACCAGAACACCTCAAAAGTTTCTTTGTGCTAAGTAGGTAAGGTCAACCTGGTCAAGTGAAATGGCTTTTTTTCAGTTCTGGGTCATAGGATTGTCTTAAAATATGTCTTTGAATCATTTTAAGGTCATTTTTCTCATATCCTTCTTTTACTCTTGCATTACAGTGTACTTGGCATCTTCCCCCTTGAATGTATTGCTATTGGACATTGTTAAATTTTTAGAATGAAATCAATTATCAGGATTTTGATATTTAAGGGAAAATTACATGCTTCTCTGATATGGAATTATCTCATAGCTTATCGAATTTCAGTTTTGTGCCCTGTACTGAATGAAATATTACAATGCAGAATCATTTGGACCTATGAGACACAAAATCAAATTAGAATTTGTAATGACTTGTTAAAAAGATGACTACGTAAGGCCAGGCACGGTGGCTCACGCCTGTAATCCCAGCACTTTGGGAGGCCAAGGTGGGTGGATCACGAGGTCAGGAGTTCCAGACCAGCGTGGCCAAGATGGTGAAACCCCATTTCTACTAAAAAATACAAAAATTAGCCAGGCGCGGTGGCGGGAGAGTGTAATGCCAGCTACTCGGGAGGTTGAGGCACAAGAATCACTTGAACCCAGGAGGTGGAGGTTGCAGTGAGCTGAGATTGTGCCACTGCACTCTAGCCTGGGCGACAGAGCAAGACTCTGTCTAAAAAAATAAATAAATGACTGCTTTTTTTGGCTATTCTAGGTCTAATTAGAATTATTACTATTGGTTTTTTTTGTTTTGTTTTTACAGTACTTTGAGTTGCCATTTTAAGTAGAATTATTATAACGAAGTAGTACAGAGTTTACTTTTTTGTCCTGGGAGTCAAATCATGTATGTCTTCTCTAAAAACTAACTTGGCTTTCTAAATTTTAGGATTTCAGATACTTTGAGGAAAAAGCTTAAAGTTTGTTTTTTCAGCTGGAAATGTATATGCCATTATAAGTATTGGGAATTTGAAGAAATAAATTATAACTAGACATTTTATTTTCTGACTTTTTCACTGTACATGTTAATTAAGTTCTTTGTAGAAATACAGTACAACATTGCTCTTGGTCTTCAGTGTGTAAAGCTAATGGTTTGAAGAGGAAATACTAAAGAGAATAAAAGAGGTTGCAGTATAATGAGTGGTTGTGTAGAAGTTCTGGAGCCTACTCAATAGACTTCAGAAGCTTATTTAAGGTACCGTATTTCATCGAATCTGAGATGTCATAGATGACTTTTTAAAAATGCTCTTATATTATATACCTCTAAGAAGGAAAAAACACTCAGGACAGGGAGTTTAGTAGGAGACATGACCCACAAGGCTGGTACACCTAAGGATAAATGAGAAATTAACTTGACCTTCCAGGAAAGGGACCATAAAGAAACGTGCAAGTCTCAACCTTGACACTAAATAGAGAAAGGAAAAAAACATTTCTCTGAGAATTTGAACCACAAGCCCTAAGCTTTGAGTGTGCAGCCTTACCACCAGTGTGGTCCACAAAGGCCTGCCACAAAGGATTAATTCAGATGGTATCAGGCTGATAGTGTTCCCAGACGACAGCAGAAGCAGATGCACATCTTCTCTGGGAAAATTCACCTCTAGTCTAGACCTATGGTAAGATACCTCCATTATAAAAGATGTGTTCCAGTTTCGGAAATGTAACGTGAAAAAACATGCCTTTTAGAATTGATAAACTAGAATTCCATCAGGACCAACTTTTCAGTGTTGTTAAACATGTGTATTTTATATCTGATGAAGATCTTGAGACTGAAGTATTTTAAAAAGCCTTCTGAATTAAATTACTTTCTATATAGTTTTAGATAAAGTGTCTTATAGATGAGGTTTTTGAAAATTTATGACCTGTATATAGTATATATTGTGATTTTATGATGGGAAGTATTTGATTAATCAAAGTATCCTATTCTGAGATGAAAGTTGCCTTGTTACGAAAAAATGCTAACAGACGTGCTCTCAAGGCATTTTTGTTAATCTAAGAAACCATGTTCTTCTGCCTTTTCTTGCTTTGCCAGCAGTGTTTATGAATTTCTTTTAGCATCTCTTAGTATATATTAAGGACATTTGATGTTCTTCTCTGCTAAGTTACCGAATGACAAGAGAGATGTTTTCTATTATATTCATGGAATTGCTTCACTAGTGTTTGAGTTGTTTGACCACTTACTTGTGAGTTTTAAATATGTTATCCATTTATCTTAAAGTTAGGTATCTAAAAGACGTAAGACCCATCTTAACAAAAAAATTTGTTTTCTACTGCAACTGCTCCATATGGTTTTTGAGTGTTTCCTGCTTTTGACTGAGAACAAGGAAATGTGGAATTGTGCACAGGAATGAAATGATGGCCAGGCTTTCACTGGGTTATACACTGTCATCACTAATAGTTCCTGACATCTCTCTCTTTCCTTAAGAGCTTTTTTGTATTCAAGAAAACAGAAATGGCATGGCCTTTTTAGTTTGTTCTTTGATTTGAATCAGACAAATTACTTCTGGCCAGCTGATTTATTAGTTTCTTTTGCTACTAGCTTTAAAAAATAAATAAATAAATCTGACTAGAAAAGGATCTCATCCTCTAAAATTATTGACTACATTAATAGTACTTCATTTAGATCCTCCCAGATTTATTGCTCCTTGAAAAATATGTCATCTTTGTTCTGTAAACTCTTAGAACCAGTAATTTCTCCTCTGGCTACGACTGCTACTAACAAGTAGAGTGATTGCCCACTATTTAAGCCTGAGACTTAGCTGTACTAACTCCAGAGGATGTGCAAATGATTTCCTTTTTAAATCTGTGGCATTTCACTTTACCATATAGTACATAAATGTGTATTTATTCTCCAGTCTTTGAATGTAGGGTTAAGTCCTTTCTTTGTAAAGGAGTCTACAAATTTGAATTCAATTTTGTCTTTATTGCATTAGCTGTACCAGTTATACATCCTTTTTTTCAATGCTTTTTTTTTTAAAAAAAAGTGTATTCAGCTTCAAAAACTTTACCAAAAATACCAGCACTCAAATCCTACTGTTGTGCTGTTATTTGTATAGTTTCGTTTAGTGAAGTCTTATTATTTTATAGAAGGAGTTTCTACTGTAAGGATATTATTTTCAATCAATATTCTGTTATTTTCCAATGCTAGGCTTTGTATTTCCTGGTTAGTTTTATAGCCAATGTTAGACCTATTCTTTTACCGAGTGTGTGTGTGTGTGTGTGTGTGTGTGTGTGTGTGTGTGTGTGTATAATCTTTTCAAAATTGAAACTTATTTTGGGTATGTTTTTCTTTTATTGCTTCTGTAGAACCTACTGGGTTGGTGACATTTACAAGACAGAGTCTTGAAGATTTTCCAGAATGGGAAAGGTAACAACAATAATAAAAATAATCCTAGACCCCCTAGAAATAGAAGGACTCTTGCACCATGAGAGGATTCTATTTTATAGCACCTAGAAAGATGGTTTTCCAACCTCTATTTATCCTAGTGCCAGGGAATTTCTTCTCATAAATGATCCATTGATAGCTCTCATGTTTGAAAAGGTTATGCCTTTTAAATCAAAGTCTATAACCCTTTGATTTCTACCATTTTGTCTTGGTTTTGTCTTCTGAAACAAAGTCCTGTTTAAAATTGAGAAGTGTTGTATGTGAAGACACTAATACAAGGAACACCAATATTTAAATGTTTCTCCTTACCCTTTTTTTTTTTTTGGTTAGTGTTTGAACTTTATGGCTTTTCTTTCTGGAGGACAAGATTGAGAAAAGTCTTTTTATTATTTACATTTTAGTAAACAGTAACCATCTAGAGTTCGTCGAGTGGCAAGAATTTTGAAGTTTGGCTGCCCTTGTGTACTACTGGTAGATTTTGTGGAAGTTGCTATTTACTGTTTGTTTCTTATTTATCAGAAAATATTGAGGAGATAGCAGCCAATATGAGCTAATTCAGATTTGTAAAGTCCTTAGTGTCCTGAAATAGTTAACATATTTCTTAATCTAAAGCAAGTCTCCCAATATACTTAAAGAAGGGTCCTGAAATAGTTAACATATTTCTTAATCTAAAGCAAGTCCCCCAGGACACTTAAAGAAGTGTAGATTAACTTTTTAAATATGTTTGAGGACATGATGAAGCATACTAAATACATATTTAACCAATGCCTCCCATTTTCACTTTCTAATAATTTTATGATAGTTTGTAATTGTTTTGTTTGGAATTAGTGATGAATGGAAATCACTTAAAAAAACGTTAACTTGAGAAGTCATATCTGCTTAGGTGGCTTTCCTGCGGTGTTTTCATCCATCAAAGATGTTTATTTGTGAAGTGAAAGATAAAGAAATTTACTTCAGAAGACTGAGTGCGTGGTTTAGATGATTATTAATAGAGGGAAGTAGATAAAAGGTTAAGCGACCTGAAGAGAGAAAAAAAAATGAGCCAGAAAAAGATGAGAACACGTACAGCATTTTGGCATCATGGCATGTTAGATCTGAAAGGAACCCCGGCCGCCTGCTAAAACTCTTGATCAGCTCTGTAATACCTGCAACAGACAGAAGACTGGATAGCTTCAGTGATGGCAGATCCGCTGTTTCGTATCAGTTTGTTCCATTGGTGGCTGCTTGTGTTATCATCTCATGCTTTCATTCACTAAAAATGTTTTCTACATTCATTCTCCACCATTCCTGGTTCTTCCTTCTGGAGCTACATAAATAAATCTGAATTTCTAGTTTTCTTTAACATTTGACCCTCCTTCATGTATCTTAATGGCTTCTTAACCTACTTCCCTCTCTAACAGTGCATACAAGTTCATACTAAACTGATTCGTTTCTTCTATTTCACATGTAATATGGATTCTAAACCCTTTATCTCTGCTCTTAACATACTCCCATTCATTGGGCCCTCTTAAAATATAGTGCCTGGAATTAAAAGTACCATTCTGCTGTGTCATCTCTATGGTGCAGAGGATTGTTTTTCTTCACTCTTCTATTAATCTCTAATAGGAATGCATATGTTTTGTTCCTGTTACTTTGGTGTAGATTTTATAGATCAATCTGAGGGCTTATTTTTAAGTCATCCAGGATCTCTACTTTGCATCTGATATTCATTTGGCACTAATGTGAAAGAACACCCATTTGTATACCACCATGTGGGAGAGAAGGGACAGGTCAAAATGCAGAGACTGGCAAGGCTGCTGTGTCAATGAGACACAGTAACTTTGCCTCTAAGTGAGACGAAGATTGTCCCCTTAATTTTGATAGGCAGAATTTGACTTATTTTTATTTCATTGATCTCTTTTTTGTTTTAGTTGCTTTATAAGTGAGTTGGAGAATATAATTAAAACCAGTCTCCCAGACTCCACAGAACCAGAAACATGCATTCACTTAAAGAGGGAGAATGAAGAAAAGATAAGGATTGTTGGTGTTCCCAAGCGTAAGGGGCTAAATGGGTCCAGGAACTTAGAGGCTTTCCTGAATTCCATGTTTGTGGCATGTTATAGTTAACCCTTTGATTATCAGCAAATACTTTAGCCAGGCTTAATCACAGAGAGCCAGAATCATCTACGTCTCTGACTCCTGGGGCGGGGGTGTAGAGGATGACCTACTGGGAAGTTAGAAAATGCTTCAAAACAAAACCAAGAAAAGGTTTCTAGCAATTTCGTGATTTTATTAAGAGCTATACTATAAAGTTTCTAGCTTCAGTCATGGAGAATAGTTGACAACAGATGGAATTCCCATTCTGAAGTCCTGACTGACAGCCCAGAGATTTTTAGATTATGCTTCTTTATCTTTTTAGTAGTATGCTTACAGGGGTCTTCCTCTGAATAAAATGGCTAGGAAAGTAGGACCAAAAAAAGGAAGTTAAAAAAATATATCAAACTTACGATACTGTTTTCTACAAGAGACTGGGAAAGTAATTTTTCTAAAAGTGTAGCATACTGATTCAGAGCTTGAGTGAGTCTACCTAGTTTCACATCTCTGCTGCTTTATTTCACTAGTCTTGGTTAGCTTACTTAGATGTTCTGTGCTTTGTTTCCCCGTCTATAAAAGGAGATAGTAATAGGGTTGTTGAGAGGATTCAATGAGTTAATACAAATAAGGCTCTTAGACAGAACCTGTGCAGAATTACCTTCTGAGTTAAAGCTATCAGCCTGTTGGGCTGGAGTTTTGCCAGAAATGTATTTAAACTCATTGAAACCAGGAAGGAATCAAACAATTCTCAGTATTTTTCCAGCTAACCTCCTAGACTATTTTCTAAAAATATAATCATCTCCTCCCTCCCAAAAAAGATTATGGGCACTCTTATGTGAGTTAGAACTTTGGATCTCCTCTGTTTCATTCATTTATATTTTTTATTCAGTAAGTGATCAGGGGAAAAATATCTAATAAGGCAAATAATGTTAACAAATACTTTTGATACAATGGAATTTGTTGTTAATATAACATAAGTCAATACCTCAGTGGCCATGGTTGAAAGGGAAAGAAAATAATTATGCCTTCTAAATTACAGGTACTAAGTTTATCTGTTAACCTTATTAATAGAAAAATACCATTGTTCAGAATTTCTGTCGCAGGTATTTTCATCAAGACACACACACACACACACACACACACGGTTATGAAACAGTGAAAATAGAAAATGGAAGCCAGAAGAGAATCATATATGATTTATTGCCAAATTTTTTCTACATTTTTCCTCAGATTGCCAACTCTAGCCATAACAAAATTTCATAGATCTTAATTTTTTTAATATTTTGTAATGTTTTTCAACTGTTTTAAAGAAGAAAAACTTTCATATTATTTAGAGGAAAATCAGGTTTCAAACTATGTTATCCAATTTTAATTTAAATATGTATATTTACATGTTTGAATAAAGGAGGATCAATACCAAGAATGTTAACAGTAGGCATCTGTTTCTGACTTTCGAGATTTGGGGTGGTTTCGGTTTTTGAATAGTTACCTATATTTTCACTTTTGTCCGCAGTGAACAACTTGTCATTAAAATAATAAATAAGGGAATGTCTTTTTATATTGTAGATGTGAAAAACCCTTGACACGATTGCATGTCACTTACGAAGGTACCATAGAAGAAAATGGCCAAGGCATGCTACAGGTAGGTGAATCTTAGTAGTGTCTGTGTATGGTTAGGACTTTTTCTTGTCAAGCTTCTGACAGCAAAAGAAATTTGAAAAACTGTTTATTTGTCTCCTAAACTGATTTAATGCAAAGAAGCATGATAGCAGAATGAAGAAAAACACCAAACAGATCACTTTGACAGCCTTGGTAATGTTGTGATTTGCCAGTGTATACTCTCTGTTTCTTATATGTGCTTCTCTAAAAAGCCTTTGACAGAAAATCCCAAGATCTGGACAGCATCAGCCTCTTGGTTCAGACATTGATAGTAGGTTGACAGTGGAGGAAGTTCCCAGGGTATAGTCTTGACAGACTGTCACCAGGCATTTTTATTCTTTTTCCTTAAAGGCTCTTCTTGCTCTGCCCCAGTTGATGACCAGATGGAGATGTTTTTCTGCCACCAACAGCTTTGTTTAGGTTGAGGGGGCAGACATCTAAAACTGATTGATAAGAAAGGCCTCTCTCTCATATGTAACAGTTTCACGCACGTGAGCTAGCTGTTTGCTATGTCTTTTCCCTGTTAAAAGCAGGTAATTCTGGTCCACTTCTCAATCTTTGTTAATAATCTGTTACCGCCTTTACCTTTAAAAAGTATTTTTGGAGAAGGGGGTTAACAAAAGCCCCGTGTTTAAAATATAGTAATATCTAACCTAATCTTTTGATTTATAATGCTTCTTTAACATTCACTAATGTTAGTGTTTTGTGTTCTTATCCCATTTATAAGAGCATTGTAAACTGAGTTTTCTTTGAAAGAAGCTTGTATACCATCTCATTTATACTGATAATAGTTTATTTTTCTTCTTAGATTCTTATTTGGTGCTTATATTGGTTCAGAATCTAAAGAAAGCAGTTGCCTGAAAATGGACTGATTTGTTTGAATAACTTAATGCTCACTATAAGATTTACGTCTAGTTATTATTTAAATGAAACTGAGATTCTTTTTTAAATGGCCTTTTATTTGGACATATTTGTAATTAAAATCTTCAAAGAGACAAACTATGTTTTATTCTAAATCACCTTCTCCCAGTGGTTATTTGAGCTTATAAACAAAAACAAAACATATTTAAATTTGCATTTACTCCTATACCTTTTTTCTGTTTAAAAAATAATCTTAAAATATGCTTAAATATTGGTTCAAATTAGTATCACTTTTTCCCCCACATTCCCCTCTTGATGAAGTTCTTTCCATCTTTAAAGTCTTGGATAAACTGAGAGATTCTTAATACACATGAACTAAACAAAGTTACTGCTAGTTAGCACCACAGGAATGCTGACCTTTCATTACAATACAATTCAACAAGGAATTATTTAACAACAGTTAAGGTTGAGATCCTCCCCACTTCCTCGGAATATATTATAGATGGAAATGTGAGACCTCGGTAGATTAGAGAATACCGTAAGGGCTTCTTGCTATTAATTGTTCTCCCTACCCATGCCATGTCTCCGCAGGAGATCGGGGAATATTGTATTGCAATGCTACAGAGCTCCTTGTGTAGCATATAAATTACATGATGCTGAATGGCAACAACAACAAAACCTCTCTGAGGAGCTTTATCATTCCTGTCTTTTCATCAAGTTATAATTCAGAAGCTGAGTAATCTGAATGAGTAGCTTTAAAGTGACTTGGAAAATAACTGGCTAAAAATAAGGATGCATTCACATTCTTGTTTTCATGTACTGGAACAGGTTTCTCAACTGTTGTAGAGGGTCTTTATTGTTAAGAACTTTTTTAAGTAGTAAAACTTTGGTTTTCTAAAAGACTTTGGCATTTAGAGGCATACTGAGTTTAGTGTCTTTATTTCTGTGCACACCTTTCAAGTTAAAAATGTGGGCCTTTTATTCAAAGAGTAAACAATAACATACACATTGAATGTATTTCATCATCATTATCAAGTAGTACATAAGTTGGATAGAGCTTATCTTTTTATTTTTGTTATGTACCTTATTCCAGTAAAAATTAAGTTAGGCCAATCTTAAACCTCGTCTGTTTCTCATTTGTAGTCACAATATCATTATACTTTTAGGCACTCAGCCAGTCTCTTAGTTCTCAAGTACAGTCCATTTTATTTCTTTACCGAGTTTCTTCTCTTTCCTTTACTTTACCACTTTCCTGTTTGAGGCCCTAGTAGTGCCTGTATAAACTATTTAGTACTCACCTAACCAGCATTTTTACTTTTAGTTTTACAGTTTTCCATTTATTCTTTAAACTCTAGCCTGAATTATCTTCCTAAAACATAGGTCCAGGTGTTACTTGAATCTTTCCCAGAACCTTCAGAGGGAAATTGAGTAAAAATTCCCTAGACCTCAGACCACCTCATCACCAACTGTAAGCCTCCACCTACTCTACACTGCAGGCAAGCACAATGAATCTGTTTACCATTCCCCTCATATAGTGATTTACATTTGTTTTTTTTTTTTGCCCTGTGTCCTTGTGCAGCTATGCCCTCAGCCTGCATGTCAGCTGCCACATCCCCTTGTAAAGCTTTCCTATCTTCCTCCCATGCTCCAATTTTAGTTAATTGTATTATTAGAAAGTATCAAATACATAGTAACAAGCTCTTCAATAATCATCTTCTCATTCTGCTTATGCTCATTCTGACTGCCATCTAAATTACAAATGCCGTGAGGCCAGGAACCATACATACCTTATTCATCTTTGTATCCAGTGATTCCCAGCACAATACTCAGTAAATATTTGTTGAATTGGACAGTTTAAGCCATGAATCACCCAGTGCCCATAGACCTCATATGTAGTAGGTAGCTAATTCTAATCAACAGACTGGTTTCACCAAAATTATTTTCCTATTTAAGCTAAAGAGTTACTCTGGTTTTTTAGCATTGGTTTTAGTACTCCAGAACACAAATCCAAATATATGATTCTCTCTGGTAGCTCAATTGAAGAACTCCTCAGTGGTATGTTTTAGTATTTTCTAAGTTCTCCTGTGGTAAAAGAAGACTGCTTCGCCTTCTATTAATTTCTGTCTTTTGACATATATTTTTACATATCAAACGATTCATACTATTGTTTTACTATTTTGTAAAATAGGCTTCAGATTGTCATTTAGTATCAGTTGCTTTAGAGAACACTGAAGTTTTAAGAAATCGTATATTTTAAAATAGTTTGAAAGAATATAAGCCTCATGGTATTTAGTAAATCCTATTTTACTTGTGTGTATGACTATGTATATACACAAGTTGTGTGTGTGTGTGTGTGTGTGTGTGTGTGTGTGTGTGTGATCTAACTCCTCAGATAGTCTCACTAAGGAAAAGATGGTTGCTATTTCTTACATACTGCTTCATGAGGCTGGCATAGTGCTGGACACACTGGACAAACGGAAATAATGCCAGCAAGTTGAGTTTGCTTTCTCTGGAGGATTGTGTAATTCTTCTTTATTAGTAGGCATTTGGGGATCCCATCATACTACTCCACATAAAGCTTAAGAGTTTCCAACCTAATTGGAAATATTACTTTAATTGAATCTTTGTTGCTATACTGGGTTTTCTTTCTTCCTTTTTTCCTTAGTTATATTTTTAAAAAGTAGTTTGTAATGTTCATGTAGTTTGGGGTTTGGGGTTGAATTTAGAAGGACAAAAATTCGATCTCTTTATTCTTACAATAAAGTTGGAAAAGGTTACCCAAAAAGTTGATTACTAAACTTTTCAGTTCTTTAGGGCAAGTGTTTGGTTACCATATTACATAAGAAAAGTTTAATTATATTAAAGTCACGTGAAATACATAAAGGGAAGTTGAGTAGTGAATGGGGGAGAATGACTTTGAAACCTTCCCAGATAAAGACCTCCCTTGATTTGTGGCCCATGAGACACAAATAGGTTTATAAACAAGAGTCTGTATGATACATAATATTTTGCCTAAAAGCTCCATTTTCCAGATTGCTTCTCTGGTTCTGGGATCCAGAAAAATGTGCAGAGATGTTAACTGCAGTGAGGTGGAAAGAGCTTAAGCAACCAAAATCTGCCCTTCCTGGGAAGATTACTTATTTGGGGATTGATTTTCATGGGAGAGGAAAAGATGAGAGCTTAGAGACTATGTGCTTCTTGATCATATGTGTAGGTATTTTTGACCATTATTTAATATGTCACATTTCCCCAACAGGTGGATTTTGCAAATCGTTTTGTTGGAGGTGGTGTAACCAGTGCAGGACTTGTGCAAGAAGAAATCCGCTTTTTAATCAATCCTGAGTTGATTATTTCACGGCTCTTCACTGAGGTGCTGGATCACAATGAATGTCTAATTATCACAGGTTAGTTTTGGGAAGCCTGGAAAATGGGGTAGTCTTCCCCATCTGTGAATATCTGTCATGAAGACTAGAGACTACCCAGTATAGCTTTTATCTTCCATGGGCATCAGTCCCAATATTTTTATCCATTAATTTATACTTAGTTTTTGAAATTATTACAGCCTTATTTTCCTAATCTTAAGTAAGACATCTTATTTTTACCTTTTCTTTCTTTCGTGGCATCTTTATCTGAGGAACAGGGATTAAAAACTATTCAGTTACCCCACAGTTTGAATTTTTTTTTTTTTTTTTTTTTTTTTGAGACAGAGGTTTGCTGTTGTTGCCCAGGCTGGAGTGCAATGGTGCAATCTCGGCTCACCGAAACCTCCTCCTCCCAGGTTCAAGCGATTCTCCTGCCTCAGCCTCCCGAGTAGCTGGGATTACAGGCATGCGTCACCACACCCGGCTAATTTTGTATTTTTAGTAGAGACAGGGTTTCTCCATATTGGTCAGGCTGGTCTCGAACTCCTGACCTCAGGTGATCCGCCCGCCTCGGCCTCCCAAATTGCTGGGATTACAGGCGTGAGCCACCACGCTTGGCAGTTTGAAATTTTATGACATAATAATGCTCTTAAGAAGAACATAGTGATATGCCTCTAGTATGTATTCTGTTGTAATTCTTCCATTTGAGAGTGATTTGTTTCTATTAAAAATAATTTTCAAGTGGTTTCTTGTACTTTAGTATGAAGACATTGTGTAAATATAAGAAGCACAGGAACAGTATTTAGAGAAATCAGTAACCTTTTGTTTACCCTATTTTGAATCCTAAAAGAAAAAGTTCAGTTATCATGGCCAGGCGCGATAGTTCATGCCTGTAATCCTAGCGCTTTGGGAGGCCAAGGCAGACAGATGGCCTGAGGTCAGGAGTTCAAGACCAGCCTGGCCAACATGATGAAACCCCGTCTCTACTAAAAATACAAAAATTAGCCAGGCACGGTGGTGGGTGCCTGTAATCCCAGCTACTCAGGAGGCTGAGGCAGGATAATCACTTGAACCCGGGAGGCAGAGGTTGCAGTGAGCTGAGATCGCGCCACTGTACTGCAGCCTGGGCGACAGAGCAAGACTCCATCTCAAAAAAAAAAAAGTCTGATTATCTTGGTGTTTCTTCTTGTCCTTCTTGATTTCTTTACGCTAATATGGGAGGAGGAGGGGGGAAATTTAGTCACGTGTATGCTTTAGGTCTGTTATAGAGATTTAATTTTTTTTTGTTTCTTCAGACTGAGATCACTATGTAACAGTATTTTCTTTGAATAAGCTATCAAGAAAAATGATGATTACCTCATATCTCTTAAGAAACTCTTAATCAGGCACCATATGTAAGTTGAGTCTTTTATTCAAGTACGTAAAAGAATATTCCCACATAAGTGCCGTTAATGCACCATGAGTTGCTGGTACTATTTTTTTTTCCTGAAAAAGTGGATTTTTTATTTCCACTTAGAATCTGTTACTGCTTGGAGATGAGTTTCGGGGTCTAAACACTCACCTGGGTTGTAGAATTTAGTTTATTGTTATTCCCAAAAATTATAATAGGAGAAAAACCCTCCCCATGAGTTATATAAAATGTGTACCCAACCGCATTACCTCCAAAGACATACATGACAAAACCGACTCCAAAGTCTAATCTTGAAGCCACACTGTGCCTCAGATAGATTTGTAGACAACCTTCAGAAGAGTATATTTTCTTATGTTTTGCTTTTAAGATTCTCTTTGACTTTCAATGGTTTGAATATGGTGTGTCTACATGCAGATCTCTTTGACTTTATCCTACTTGAAGTTTTTTGAACCTCTCTAATGTTTGTTATATTTGGTAAATGTTGGGCCATTATTTCTTCAAATGTTTGTTCTTCCCCTTTCCTCATCTTCTGGGACTCCCAAATTACGTGTTTGTTGATTCACTTGATGTTCCACAGGTCTCAGAAGCTCTGTTTATTTTTCTTCATTCTTTATTCTTCTTGTTCCTGAGGCTCAGTCTCAATTGCCCTGTCTTCAAGTTCACTGGTTGTTTTTTCTGCTTGCTCTAAACTGCTTTTAATCTCACTGGTGAATTTTTTATTTCAGTTATTGTACTTTTCAATTACAAATTTCTGTTTATTTTTTATAATTTCTATCCCTTTATTTATTAATATTCTCTATTTGAGAGGCATCATTCTTATACTTTAGTTTTTTAGACATAGTTTTCTTTAGTTGTTTCAGTATATTTTAAATAGCTCATGTAAATTCTTTGTCTACTAAGTCCAACATCTGGGCTCCTCAGGGGCAGTTACTACTGACTGCTTTTTTTTTTTGAGTATGGGCCATACTTTCTCATTTCTTTCCATGTCTTCTAATTTTCATTTAAAACTGGACATTTAAAATAATGTAATGTGACCCTGGAAATCAGATTTTCGCTTTTCATCACAGTTCATCCTTCTTGCTGTTTTTTCAATGACTTTTCTAAACTAATTTTGTGATGTCTGTGTTCTTTCTGTGTGTGGCCAGTGAAGTCCCTGCTTGTTAGATTAGTAGTCAGCTAATGCTTGAACAGATTTCCTTAGATGCCTGAAACTAATAAGTCTCAATGAAGTCTAATAGTCTTTGTTGAAGGGCTGTATGTGCAGGTGCAGCCTACCTTCAACACTGCACTAAGCAGTTGATGCCTCTGCCTTAGCCTTCACTTCCTGTCAAGGTCAGGCAGAGGAGAGAGCTGAGGGCTTTCTCTAGTTTTTCCTGAGCATTCATATGGCCATGGGCACGCATGAGCCCTCTAGATTCCTTCTTGTTTTAATATATTAGAACTTTTCAAAGCCCTTTGTGGACATTCTCATTCTTCAACTTTTCCTTTGAAGCTTTTGGTTAGCCTATTGTTTGCCCCAGCTGTTTGCCACCACCTCAAGAAGTTTCAGTGTTAAACAATCCCTGTAATTGTTTTCATCAAACCCTCAAAAGAATTACGCTTTTCCTACTGGCCAAGCTCCAAGTCCTGTAAAGTAAAGACAGCCTTCTGAGCGGGGCCCTCCAGGGGACCACCAGACAGGTCAAATAATGACAGTTCTCTGAGAATTGGGCTTTGAAGGAGCTTCAGCTTTCTTTTGCCCCCTCTGATGGCTTCTGATTTTCACTGTGATTCAGGAAGGTTAGTTTTTAAGGCCGAGATGGAGCTTGGGAGAGTGGGATGGGAATAAGGCAAATAAAACACTGCAAAGTTTATTGTTTTTACCAAGATTCAGCTGGTTTTTCTTGAATAAGCACTCCCTGGATTGCTGCAAGCCTTTGGCTACTTTTCAGTTGATTCTCACAGTGCTCATCACAGTGTTCACATTGCTTTCATGGAGGAGAGAGTTTTCAGAGGTTTTTACTGCACCATTTTTTACTGATATCTTTTTATCTTTTGTAAGCACCCATGGATAAAGGAGCTTTCAATGAGTTATTCTACATCATTTAGACATCCTATGTAAATTTTTATCCCTGTGATTCTGCTTTTTTGGTGAAGTAAGGCAAAAAATAAAAAATTGTAAATTGTCTGAGTTTATGTAGGAAATTAAGATTGGAACTTCCACAAAGGAATTTTTTTCCTGGACAGAGCCTCAGTCAGCCATTTGAAGTTAGTGACTTGGAGTACTGCATTCAGAATTCTGAGATTATGATCCAAATTATACTGAAATGGAAAGATAAACTCCTTTTGTACTCAACACTTCCTCAACTCACATTTTGGCCATCTGTCTGCATTTGTTAGTTATCATGGATGCACGTGGGAAGTATATAATTGGGCAAGGTACTAGGGGAGATAAGATTGCAAGGAATTACAGAACAAAAAAAACTGGCATAAATCTATTGTTGAGCAACCAGCACTTTGGCTATTGGTCTCATACTATTGTAGGGAAGCTCTGCAGGTTTGGAATATGGCTGTCTTCATCATTTACGTACATCAAATAATACTTTAAAAGATTGTTATTCCGGCTGGGTGCAGTGGCTCACGCCTGTAATCCCAGCACTTTGGGAGGCTGAGGCGGGCGGATCATGAGGTCAGGAGATTGAGACCATCCTGGCTAACGTGGTGAAACCCCATCTCTACTAAACATACAAAAAAAAATTAGCTGGGCCTGGTGGCAGGTGCCTGTAGTCCCAGCTACTTGGGAGGCTGAGGCAGGAGAATGGCGTGAACCCAGGAGGCGGAGCTTGCAGTGAGCCGAGATCACACCACTGTGCTCCAGCCTGGGCAACAGAGCGAGACTGTCTCAAAAAAAAAAAAAAAAAAATTTTTTTTTTAGCTGTTAAGGTAGATTTGGATTGAACACTGAGAACAAAATATCCCATCAGTTTTTAAGATGAATTTACATTCTTGAAATAAAAAACTTGGTAAAATGCATTTAAACTTAAAGCTAACTTGTTTCATTTGCTTAATTTCTCTAGAAAGTAGTAAGAACTGGGCTGGGCGAGGTGGCTCACCCCTGTAATCCCAGCACTTTGGGAGGCCGAGGCAGGGGGCATCACAAGGTCAGGAGATTGAGACCATCCTGGCTAACACGGTGAAACCCCATCTCTACTAAAAATACAAAAAATTAGCCAGGCATGGTGGTGTGTGCCCGTAGTCCCAGCTACTCAGGAGGCTGAGGTGGGAGAATCTTTTGAACGTGGGAGGCAGAGGTTACAGTGAGCCGGGATTGTGCCACTGCACTCCAGCCTGAGTGACAGAGTGAGACTCCGTCTCAAAAAAAAGAAAAAAAGAAGAAGAAGAAAGTAGCCAGTACATTGTCATCCTCCATTAATGTTAATGTAAATAAAGGATGTCATTTTCCTTGGGAATAAAACAGGAATGTTAAAAGGAAAACATAAGAATATTTTCTTTTTTTAAAGATAATTTGTCCCCAGTCTAAAAAAGGATTCTAATCTCCTTTTACGTAATCTCTAAACGTTCCTGCAGCTATTGTAAAATGAATGGAAAATTGCAGATCCATGACTCACCTTCAGATCTGTAATTACCTCAGGCTAAGGACATATGGGGTGACTTTTAACTCAGCATTTTCCCCCACATCCACTTAACTTTATTATAGTGCCTCCTAATTAATATCTGTGATGTGATGTTACCTTAATGGAAATGGCCATTTCATCATCTATTTGATGTCTGGATTTCTGCCATCTCCCTCCTTAGGAGACTCTTAGCCATGCACTACAATCTATCTGCCTGATCAATTCCGTTCCTTCAATGATGCATCCAGCTCAGTGAGCTAATGGCTGTGACTGTGCTGCCTGAATCTGTAGAAGAGTTTGAGAAATTGGAAATAAATTAAATTTATCATCATTGTGGGACATCTGGTTGGTATCATTATTTTAAAAGAATATGAAACAGGTCATGCAAACAGGCAAATACTTTTATACAGACAGTGTTATCCCTCTGTTTGTTGTGATCCTGCCTGGGGCAGCCATGAGTTAAAAACCTTTCAGTAAGTATAGATAGAGGGAAAGAGTTAAAATTCCAATCTTCCCATTTCTTCTTTTTTTTTTTTTTTTTGTCTTCTCTTACTTGTTTCTGTACAACATCCAGAAAATAGTTTCAATACTAAAGGGTGTTAAGTTTTCTGAGAGTTGTTTTTCTGCTTCTGTTTGGTGAGCACATAAACCAGGTGCCTAGACATGAAACCTACTGGGCAGAGTATTCCTGTATTTAACGTAAAACCTGCCTCTAGTGAATCAGATTATCCCAGACATCACAAATCTTTACATCTTTTCCAAATGTCAGCAGAGCTGATAGAAATGATAACAAGTAGACACCATTGCTTATAGGACTGGTGACATCTTCTAGAGTTAAAGTACTAGAGGTGCCTGTCAAGACACCAGCTCATTGGGAAAGGTCCAAATTCAGTTGGAGTTTTCCAAAAATGTTTGGAAATTAAACGTTTTTATGCTTGTCTTTTCTAAGTTTTTAATAATCATTAGAATTAAAAGCAAGAGTTTTCTATTTACTGCATAATCACTACTGTTTGAGTGATGCTAATAAAATTTGGGTAAAATGGTGTTTATATAAACCTGCTTTCCAAGGGAACAATCCATTGGTAAGTAGAATTTTTTTTAATCTCCGAATGTTTTTTCCCATGATCGTTACAAACTCTTATTCCTAATAAGGGAAAATAACCATGTTTCTTACTACTAAATCTAAAAAATCATGAAGAGGTCATGAACTCCTCATAAGATTTTAATGGATTCCTTCTAGTTTTTTCCTTAAGTGAAGGTCTTTGACTATGAAGTCTTAAAGGCCCATCCCTAGTGAGAGCTATCACAATGGTCATTCAGTCTTCTGTCTCAGTAGCTGTTACCAGTTTACCTTTATATTTTCATCATAGTTCATTAATTTAAATTTTAAACAAGTTAAGGGCATTCACTTTTTTCGAAGGAGACAGTTGGCATGTTAAAAGGTGTCTACTTAGAAAACCCAGGGTTTAACTTGTTTAGTACAAAAGTGTTTGTATGTGTATTTTTTATTTCCCATGAAGGAGGGAAGGAAGTAAATCTAACCTTGTTCCTCTCAGAGAAGAACACTGAAACTATATTAACATGAAGTAGAAACATGATAATTGATATTTTATATTTTTCAGCCACTTTCTTTTAAAAAGACAGAACAAGTATTTGTTTTCCGAGTTAACAGATCAGAATAGGCAGTTTGTCTTTTTATGAACAGGAAAAACGAGGCTTGTCTACCGCTAGGCAGAAAACAAAAGAAGGAGTAGTCCTTGCTGTCTTGGTTCCTATCAGGCAAGTAGACCAGGTTGCTTTTCACCCTCGAGTAAATAGAATCACGCATCTGTGGTTTCTCTACCCCCTTAAAAAAATTATTTCTAATGACACCAATACTGATGGCTTTGTGGGTTTGAATGAATTTTTTACTTGTCTTATTTAGTTTCCCAAGGAATTCTATGATGTAAACAAAATAAGAATTATTAAGAACCCTGAATTTCAGATGATGGAATGATGTCCAGTGAGGTTTGGTTATCTAAGGTCACCTAGCTAGTGAAGATCCACTTTGAGTTTCTCACGTTTCCTAATCTCAGTGCAGTGCTCTTTTTACCATACCATGCATTTATTGTAGATGTGAATTTTTAGTATGCGTCAGTTATGTAGTGCCTTCGGATTATTTCTGGACTCATTGTTTTAATCATCAGTTAAATTTCTTTGGCTCATTAATTATTATGTTTATTCGGCAAGTTCTTACTCAACTGCTTTTATATTCTTGCATTACAAGATGCTAATGTAGATAAAAATATTATTTATTTTTTCTTTTTTTAGACACAGGATCTCTGTCACCCAGGCTAGGGTACAGTGGCACAATCATAGCTCACTGTTACCTCAAATTCCTGAGCTCAAGGGATCCTCCCACCTCAAACTCCTGAGTAGCAGGAACTGCAGGCTCACACCACTGCACCCACCTAACTTTTTTTTTTAATTTTCAGTGGAGACAAGGTCTCATTCTGTTGCCCAGGCTGGTCTCAAACTCCTGGGCTCAGGCAGTCCTCCTGCCTCGGCCTCTCAAAGTGCTGGGCTTACCGGCATGAGCCAACACACCCCGCCTATAATTTATAATCCCTGCCCTTGAGGAGCTGAGAGTCTAGTGAGGGAGTCAGATTCCATTTCTTAAGACAGATTTATTGAGGTATAATTGACATAAAATAAACTATTTGTTTAAAGTATACAATTATGTAAGTTTGGACGTATGACTACACCCATGAAGCTATCTTTTGTTTAAGTTTTCATTGTTTTTTGTTTTAATTGAGTTTTGAAAGCTTTATATATTTTGGATATAAATCCTTTATCAGATATTTCTAGCATGTCTTTTCATTCTCTTCACAGTGACTTTTGAAGCACAGAAGTTTTAAGTTTTGAAGTAAGCTTATTAATGTGTTGTTTTCTTTCTTCCTGTTTTGGTTGCTATATCTTTATAATAAGTCTTAAAATCAGGTAGTATGGGTCCTTCAACTTTTTTCTCCTTCAGCGTCGTTTTGCCAAGTTTTAGAATCAGTATTTCAATGTTTACCAAAACAGCTTGCTGAATTTTGAGAATGCTTTGAATCTGTAGATCTGTTTGGGGAGAATTGACTTTTTTTTTGAGACGGAGTTTCGCTCTTGTTGCCCAGGATGGAGTGCAATGGCGTGATCTCAGCTTACCGCAACCTCTGCCTCCCAGGTTCAAGCGATTCTCCTGCCTCAGCCTCCCTAGTAGCTGGGATTACAGGCATGTGCCACCATGCCTGGCTAATTTTGTATTTTTAGTAGAGACGGGGTTTCTCCATGTTGGTCAGGCTGCTCGCGAACTCCCGACCTCAGGTGATCCGCCCACCTCGGAATTGACATCTTAACAATGTTTTGTCTTTGACACATGTCTAGGATGTATGTCTCTGTTTATTCATGTCAGTTTTACTCACTAGTATTTTATATTAGTATTTTATGGTTTTCATTGTATAATTCTTCCCCATTTTGTCAGATTTATCCGTAAGCATTTCATAATTTTGTTGCTGTTGTAAGTTTTTAAAATTTCTGTTTTTAATTATTCATTGCTACTATGTGGAAATGCAATTGATTTTCAGATTACAATTCAATATGTTAAGTGCTCTACCAATGTTATGTGCAAAATACCTTGGGAGCATGGAGGAAGAACAATCAACCCTACTTATGGTGTCAAGGAATGCTTCATAAAAGAAATAACATAAATCTTCTAGTTATTTTCTTGATTTTTAGCATGAATATCTTGTCCAAAATTCTAGATAAATGTCTAATAATTAAAATACAAATTATTTTTAGAAGTAGTATATTAAATAATAGACTGGAAACTCTAGTATTGAGTTTAAATCTTGGAACTTTTGATTCTGGAAATTTTTAATCATATATGAAAATAGAGTATTTTCATAGCTTTATTTATATTATGTGGTTTTTATTGTGTGTTTTTCTGTTTGTTTTGAGACAGAGTCTCACTCTGTCACCAGGCTGGAGTGCAGTGGCGCAATCTCAGCTTACTGCAACCTCCACCCTCCAGGTTCAAGTGAGTCCCCTGCCTCAGCCTCCTGAGTAGCTGGGACTACAGGTGCACGCCACCACGCCCAGATAATTTTTGTATTTTTAGTAGAGATGGGGTTTCACCACGTTGGCCACGATGGTCTCGATCTCTTGACCTTGTGATCCGCCCGCCTCGACCTCCCAAAGCGCTGGGATTACAGGCATGAGCCACCCCGCCTGGCCTTATATTACGTGTTTTTATGTGTATGTATATGAAACTTCAGACTTACAGAAAAGTTGCAGGTATAATACATGGAATTTCCATATACTCTTTACTCAGATTCACAGAAAAGTTGTAAGAATAATACATGGAATTTCCATATACTCTTTACTCAGATTCACCAGTTTACATTTTTGTCCCATCTACTTCATCATTTTCTCTATTTTCTTTTCTTGAATTGTTTAGGAATATGTTGGAGATACTGTGCCCTTTTATCCCTAAATACTTTGTTGTATATTTCCTAAGAACTAGGACATTGTCTTACATCAGCACAGCACAGTTAGTTATCAAAATCAGGAAATTTAATTTGATACAGTACTGTTAGTTAATCTACATTATAATATAATTTTGTTATTCCAATTATGACCTTTGTAGCTTTCTTTCCAGTCTTCAATTAGTCCAGGCTCACACCTTGGTATTCTTTAAACTGGAACCATTTCTCAGCTTTTCCTTGTGTTTGTTCACTTTGATATTTCTCAAGTGGATAGGCTAGTTATTTTGTAGATTGTCCTTCTTGTGTTTGCCCACTGCTTCTTCCTAATTAGGTTCGGGTTATTCATTTCGGTAGGAATCCCACTGAAGTGATACTGTGTTCTATTTAGTATATCTTTTGAGGAGACATGTGATAGCACTTTGTCCCAATATTTGTGACACCAGTGTAATGACTTGGTTAAGTTGGGTTGACCAGGTTCCTCCACTGTCAGGTTATACTTTTTCATTCTGTAATTAATGTATCGCTATATATTTTATATACTTTGAAACTGTAAACATCTTGTCCTCATCAAACCTTCACCTACTAATTTTAGCAGTCATTGCTAATTTTTTAAACTCCCATTCTTTCTACATTTAGTAGTTGGCATTCTACTATAAGGAAGGATTTTCCCTTTTTCCTTATTTGTGTATACTTATTTATTAATATTTATTATTTATTAATATATATGCAAGTATAGACACTTGCATTCTTATTGTATTCAGTGGATTATGATCCATTGCTATTTTCTGTTTGGTGCTAAATTGTCCCATATTCCATCAGTGGGAATGCCTTCAAGTTAACTATTGTGTGCCTTTGACATGTGCCCATCATTCTTTAATGCACTTTCTTCTTTGAGCATCTCCATCTTTTTAGCACAAAAAGATGTTGTAGGCTCATCTTGTATATTCCCTGCACCAGCTCTGGAATCAGCCATTTCTGCAGGTGGTCCTGGATTTTAGTTAGTTTTTGGAAGCCAAGATTTGAACTAGAACATATATGTTACAAACACACACACACACACACACACACACATATACAACTGTGAATTTATATTGATACCTCCCATTCTTAACCAGCTTCACAGCCTATATTATAGTCTTTCCCCCTTTCCATAATTGGAACTCTCTTCCCCAACAATGAAGAATGTGGCTCCCAATATCTTCAATTTTTCTCGTTTGTTTAAGCCTAATATATACAAAAGGTGATTTCAGAACTTCTAAACCATGCCACTGCAAAAAGTAAACCTGTTAAATAGAGTTCATTATTTGTTTACAGTTCTTTTATTTTTGAAGTAAAATTTACACACATTGAAGTATACAATGTTAAGTGGATAATATGGTGAGTTTTGGCAAATTGATATGCTTTTATATCCCACACCCCTATCAAGACATAAAAAAAAAAAAAACATGTCTATCACCTCAGAAAATTCCCTTGAGCCTTTTTCTGGTCAGTCCCCAACCCCAGAAACAACCATAATTTTTATTCTTTTCATTATAAATTACTTTTTTCTTTTTTTTAGAATGTCATGTAAATATATGTCATACACACTTCTGTATCTTGCTGCTTTTGCTTAGCGTAATGTGAGATCTATCTATGTTTTTTAATGTGTCAGTGGTTCTATCCCTTTTATTACTAAGGAGTATTCCTTTGTGTGATCGTGGCAAATGTTTTGTTAATTTTTTATCAATAGTTGGATTGTTTCCACCTTTAGTTTTGTGATAGTCTTTTTTTTTTTAATGTCAACTTAGCTAGGCTACAGCCCCCAGTTATTCTGTCAAACACTAATTCGGGTATTGCTGTGAAAGTATTTTATAGATGTGATCAAAGTCTACAAGTAAAGGAGTTAATCTTATTGCATTCAATAAGCATTTTTTTTTCCTTTGAGACAAAGTCTCACTCTGTTGCCCAGGCTGGAGTGCAGTGATGTGACCTTGGCTCACTGCAACCTCTGCCTCCTGGGTTCAAGTGATGCCCCTGCCTCTGCCTCCCAGGTAGCTGGGATTATAGGTGCCTGCCACCATGTTCAGCTAATTTTTGTATTTTTAGTAGGGACAGGGTTTCACCATGTTGGCTAGGCTGGTCTCGAACTACTGACCTCGAGTGATCTCCCCACCTCGGCCTCCCAAAGTGCTGGGATTACAGGCATGAGCCACTGTGCTTAGCCACATTCAATACAATTTGCATTAAGTAAGCGATAATCTGGGTGGGCCTGATTCAGTTGGGTGGAAGGCCTTAAGAGCAGAGCTGAGGCTTCTCTGAAGAGGAAATTCATTCTGTGCACTGCCACTTCACCCATGCCTGAGAGTTCCAGTGCACCCTTTGGACCTGACTAGTCAGCTCCACAATTGTGTAGGCCAATTTTTGGCAATAAATCTCTTCATATATATGTCCTCCTGGTTCCATTTCTCTGGTTGAGCAATGACTGATACAAATCTATTGTAAGGAAACCTGCTATGAACATTGTTCTTTGCAGTTTTTGTGAGCACACATTTTCAGTATTTGTTTAGTAGATATCTAGGAATGGAAATTGTAGGTCAAAGGTTACGTGTATGTTTAATTTTACAAGGGATTGCCAAACTCTTTTCCAAAATTATTACACCAATTTATGTTCTCCCAGCAATATAAAATGAGATTTCCACTTGTTTTCCATCCTCGTCAACATTTAGTGTTGTCATTCGTTTTTATTCTTTTGTATTTTAGCCTCTCTTTTGAGTGTATGGTGGTTTCTCACTGTGATTTTTTTTATTTGCATTTCTCTGATGACTAATAATGTTGAGCAATATTTTATGTGGTTGTTAGCCAGTTGTATATCTTCCTGTGTGAAGTTTATATTCAGGTCTTCTGTCCATTTTTCTAAATTGGGTTGTGTTTTTATTGCAGACATGTAGGAGTTCGTCGCATATTCTGAACACAAGTCCTTTGTCAGATATTTGATTTGCAAATATTTTTTCTCCAGTCTTGTCTAAACATTTTCCTGAAGGTGTTTTTTCATTGTTTGTTCGTTTGTTTTTTGTTTTTGTTTTTGTTTTGAGATGGAGTCTTGCTCTGTCACCCAGGCTGGAGGGCAGTGGCATGATCTCAGTTCAATGCAACCTCCGCCTCCCAGGTCTCCATTTAAGTTTTCTTTTTTTTTCTAGTGTCTTTTTTTTTTTTTTTGAGATGGAGTCTTGCTCTGTGGCCCAGGCTGGAGTGAAGTGACACAATCTCCGCTCACTGCAACCTCTGCCTCCCAGGTTCAAGCGATTCTCCTGCCTCAGCCTCCTGAGTAGCTGGGATTACAGGCACACGCCACAATGCCCAGCTAATTTTTGTATTTTTATTAGAGACGGAGCTTCACCATGTTGGCCAAGCTGGTCTCGAACTTCTGACCTCAGGTGATCCACCAGCCTCGGACTCCCAAAGCGCTAGGATTACAGGCGTGAGCCACTGCACCTGGCCAGTAGTGTCTTCTTTGTTGTTATGTTTACTCCTAGGTATTTTATGGTTTTTGACATTATGGGTAATGGATTTTTAAAAAATGTTTATTTTCCCATTGTTTGTTGCTAGTACACAGACATACCCTTGATCTAAGTTTACTTATATGCTTTTTCTTTATTTTAATTTCCCCTTTCTTTTCTTTTCTTTTTTTTCTTTTGAGACTGAATCTCGCTCTGTCTCCCATGCTGGAGTGCAGTGGCACACTCTTGGCTCACTGCAACCTCCGCCTCCCAGGTTCAAGCAGTTCTCCTGCCTCAGCCCCCCTAGTAGCTGGGATTAAAGGCACACACCACCAAGCCTGGCTAATTTTTACATTTTTAGCAGAGGTGGGGTTTCACCATGTTGGCCAGGCTGGTCTTGAACTTCTGACTTTAGGTAATCCACCCGCCTCTGGGATTACAGGCATGAGCCACTGCGCCTGGCCTCTCTCTTTAGTTCAGTGATTCCTTAGGATTTGCTATGTAAACAAGCATGATATCTACAAATAGGGACAGTTTGACTTATTTTTTTACATTCTTTATGCCTTTTTGTTTATTTTCTTGCCTTATTGCACTGGCTGGAGAGACCTTCAGTACAGTGCTAAACAGAAGTTATTCTTGCCATGTTATGAAAGGTGGAATGTTTTTGCCATCAAGTGTGAAGTTAATAGTGACAGATTGTTTGTTTCAGGTACTGAGCAGTACAGTGAATACACAGGCTATGCTGAGACATATCGTTGGTCCCGGAGCCACGAAGATGGGAGTGAAAGGTGAGTCTGTTTCTGTCTTCAGTATTCCATGGCTAAAAGCAAAGGAATTTGGGCTTGACCCTCACACACTCTCATTCTGTCTACTTGTATTTCAGCAAGTGAACTTAAAAAGAAAAAAGAAAAGAAATCAGCATTACAGGTTCATTGGCATTGAAAACACTATTACCATCTTCCTGTACCAAAGGGAAGAACAGAGAAGATAAAACCAAAAGTCTAAAGCAAAGACAAAGAGGGGCAGAATTCTCTACAGTTCTTTACCTCTGAGCTACAATCAGAAACCGTGGAGGTTAAATTCCATGTTTAAATCTGAGTAGAATAGGTTCTAATTAGAGCTTAAAGCCTTTGACCAACTTATTAAGTTATCTTTAATTTTTCTGTGAAATTAGGTGGAGGAAACCTATGTTGCGACAGTTGACCTAATGCCACAAACCAGTTGATGGCAGAACCTGCGGTGTGCTTTGCTGCTTTGTCTCCTATATCTTCTTGAAATATAGTCTTCTACTTTGACATTCTTACTTCTAGTTAACCAGAGATAAAATTTTGCAGAAATGCTACCTGAAAGCTTGTGGGGTTTTTTGTTTTGTTTTGTTTTGTTTGTTATTTGATGAGAAAACCATTGTGGCAGAAAGAATCAGCTCTTGCCCACGTGCCACAAATTTATTCCTCATAATGTCTCAAGTCCATCCTCTGCTTTCTTGCTATTTTGTTTAAAATATATGGTTGCAACAAACATCTATGTAGATGTTTATTCTACATTATTTACAATTATTTACAAACCAGCATGAAGATTTCTATTGTTGGTTTTCAGTTTGAAAAGTTGCTTGGCACAGCAATATATGCAAGTTTATAAAGAGATTAAATATTTGGGATTTTACATGTTTCCAAAATTATCATCTCAACCAGTCCTTTCTATTTCCACAGGCAACATGGTATTGTCTGCTTTGATGTCTTTGTTATTTTAAAAATAGTTTCTCACAGTCAGCAATTGAGCACAGTAGGTAGAATGCTGCACTGAATTATTTCACATTTTTGTAACACTTCTTAGGATTATTTCCTGGACAGTATATAGTGATGTTACAACCCCAGTGATTTAAAGCAGATCTCTCAAAGCAAAGGAGGAATGAGCTTTGTCAGGATGCAAGTGGCATGTCCTTAGTATTAGAGGAAAACAAAGAACTAGATTCCTTTTGTTTGCCCCCAAATCCTTTAACCTCTGAGACTTACTATAAATGATTTACCTGTTTACACTATGTCATTGTGTTGTCTCTGGGTAATTTTTCATTTTACTTTTTAAAGCCTGACAGTGCACACTGTATATGCCTCAATCTAAAAATAAAGGGTGTTTCCTTTCCTTTCCTTTTGCTCAGACCTGCAGACACTGGTTTGTTTTTAATATTTTAACAGAGCTAAAGTCTTGGCAACCTGACCCCTGAGAGGATTTTATTTGAGCGACTACCTGTTCCTTATCTTTTCTCCCCTTTCCTTCCTGTCCCAGGGACGACTGGCAGCGGCGCTGCACTGAGATCGTTGCCATCGATGCTCTTCACTTCAGACGCTACCTCGATCAGTTTGTGCCTGAGAAAATGAGACGCGAGCTGAACAAGGCCAGTAACCTTATTTCTTAGTTCATCTGGCAGCTGTCATCTATTTACTGCCATTTTATTAATGCTGAAATTAATGCTTTCTGGTAATTATTGCAGTGTCAGTATGTCTGCCCACAGCTCTCCTGATTTAATGGCTCTGTCAGCTTGTACAAGATGTACTTTCCATTTTGTAATTGTTTGATTCGCAGCTAAGGTTGCCAGATAGGCTGTTGCTTAGTTTTAAACCCCACACATGCATTTATCTCATCAAGTACCTTAGCTGCTATGGGACATTATCAATGTAAAACCATATAGAAACAAATGAGCTCTGAAAATTTTTTTCTCAGACCTGCTTAATGACATTTTCTCTACAAAGTATGCTATCAGGGTTAAAACAGAAAAACTGAAAAAGCCAAATCAAATGTTGTTCTATTTTAGGTAAGATTTATGATGGTATCTATTATTTTCCGTAATACTTAGTGCCGCCTACTATATTCATTTTTTTCTTTTTTATTACAGAAATATAAAAATGAACCATACCTGTTGTTCAAATTTTCAGTATTGGCAACCATAATAAATAAACTCTGTTACACAACAGAGAGCTGATTCTGTTCTCTGGATTTTGGGCTTTCCCAAAACAGCAGAGATTTTCTTTTTAGTTCCTCGAATTATTCACTCAGCAGAGATTTTCTTTTTTTTCTTTTTTTCTTTTTTTTTGAGATGGAGTTTCGCTTTTGTGGCCCAGGCTGGAGTGCAATGGCATGATCTTGGCTCACTGCAACCTCCGCCTCCCAGGTTCAAGCGATTCTCCTGCCTCAGCCTCCCAAGTAACTGAGATTACAAGCGCCTGCCACCACGCCCAGCTAATTTTTATATTTTTAGTAGAGATGGGGTTTCACCATGTTGGCCAGGCTGGTCTCGAACTCCTGACCTCAGGCGATCCTGCCCGCCACAGCCTCCCAAAGTATTGGGATTACAGGCATGAGCCATTGTGCCCAGCCTAGAGATTTTCTTTAGTTCCACAAATTATTCACACAGCCAAGAAGACTGACCCAATTCTGAAAATCATTCTTTCACTCCCATGAGTAGGATTTAGTTATAAGATTATTAGGATAATGAGGCTTGTGGTTTTTACATGGCTATACATGGTGTGCCAGTTCCTACACAGACTTCTGAGAATAATAACAGTGATCTAGACAGATTTTTACTACACTTACAACTTAGTAGATATTTTGAACATAATTAAGTATCTTATATCCTGATCTATTTGGGAGAATCTAATTTATTGTTGAACATGTTCTCGTATGTATAATTTTTTAAATTATTTTAATGTTTAGAGTTCTCAAATTTTATAAAATGTTTGAAGAATAATGCACTATTTTTTAAAGTTGAACTTACGTAACAGGTGTCATTTATTTAAAAATGAAAATAAAAAGTAATCCCTCAGAAAAGCTATCCAGAAAGACCGGCCTTTGGTGTATCAACAGTTCTAAAGTTCTCTCCTACCTGACTCTGAAAGTCAGAGATTTGCCTGTACTGAAGATTTTTTTTTTTGTTGTGTTTTTTGTTTTTTTTTTTTTGAAGCAGGGTCTTTGTTGCCTAGGCTGGAGTGCAGTGGCATGTGCGATCACAGCTCACTGCAGACTCTCAACTTCTCTGGGCTCAGGTGATCCTCCCATCTCAGCCTCCTGAGTAGCTAGGAGTACAGGTGTGCACCACCACACCTGGCTAATTTTTCTTTTTTAGATACACTGGGTTTCACCATATTGCCCAGGCCAATTTCAAACTCCTGGGCTCAAGTGATCTCCTCCCCGTCGGCCTCCCAAAGTGCTGGGATTATAGGCATGAGCCACAATGCCCTGCCTGAAAAGTATCTTTTACTAGTAATTGGATACATTTTAAATGT